>NC_000002.12:114762345-115065375 GCF_000001405.40 Homo sapiens | reverse complement strand
ATGATTACTGGAACAGATGGGCCATGACTCCCTTATCTCTTCCCAGTTTATGTTAAGCAGTGGTCATTTTAAAAGAGTTAGATTTAAACATTCAATTTTTAGTTGAAAAAAGTAATTAAAAAACTCTATGAGTGGGTTGAATTGAGAAATGGATAGACTTATAAAGGAAACTAGTGAGCTCAAAAATAGATTTCTCCAGAATTTAAAAAATAAATATGTTACAGAGTTATGTGTAATGATCCAGGAATATTTCAAATATATTTTCAATATGAAACCCAGAGCATATAAAGGGTGACTAGTTGAGGTGAAGAAGGTAGAGCACAAGAAATGTGAAAGTATGTTATGGTCATTTTCTAAATGGATAATAATTCAAATTATCCTTCAAAAATTATAATATAAACATACACATTAAATATATGTGGGCAACTATTAGGCCTATGATGAATAATGCTTAAAACAAAAAAGAAAAATAGGAAAAGACAATTCAGTACAAGAGAATAAAATAAATGAAACCCAATCAGAAACCCTGCTAGAAAGAAGACTAAACAAACCTAGGTAGCATCCACTTACCTTTTCAGAACCATCTACTGGTCCCTCAGCCACCTCTGTGATGACCATTGCTAAGTGGACTATAACCACTTTCTACAAATGCAACCTCACCCTCACAGAATCTTACTTCAATGTCAGTTCCTTGCATGTCACTCACTCATGCTTCCAGTTCTCAACACTTTGCTATTCACATATAAGTACAGGAAGCAAAGAATCTACGTCAGTGCCCACCTATGTCCAACCGAAATATGTGTGTGTAGGGGTGGGTGGTGGGGCAGAATTAACCCCCTATCAGCCAGACTTTTGAGTGATGGGCAACAGATGTGTGTAGATAAATTATCCTCTCTGTCTCCTTTGGGCACACGGTTCTGAGCCACAGTCATATAGCTTCTGGGGGAAGAGATCCTGAAGGTCAAACATCTGCTTTACCTTGTAATGCTCAGCCCCATGGCACATTTTCTATTGGCTCTCCCTTCTTCCCTGCTTTGCTGTACTTGATCTCACTACTTCTCCCTGGGATCACACTCTAATGGAGCAGAAGCACACCAGCCTTTGCCACAGGCTCCACTTGCTGGGAATCTCAACCTAAGAAATACTAAGTATGTTTGTAGGCATAATAAACATGAGTTATATTTCCTTATAAATCAGAGGCTTTAACATTAGGGAGAGAAAAGAAGAAAAAAAAAGAAAGAAGAGAAAACAAATGAACAACAATCCCATATCTAGCTATATGTTGTGTGAAAGTGAGAAAGTTAAAAATTCGACAATATAAAGTATAATAATAAAATGATGGTAAAAGTAAATTGGGCAAATTTTAACAAAAGGCAGGCATTGAACCAACACTGTGAAACCCATTGTAATACCAGAAAAAAAAGATGAATGAGACAAGCTAATCATATTTTACAATGGTAAAAGTAAAATCATAAAACCTTATATACATAAAAAAACACAGCATCAACATGAAATTTTTGCCCTTGTCTATGTCCTGAATGGTATTGCCTAGGTTTTCCTCTAGGTTTTTATAGTTTGGGATTTTACATTAAGTCTTTAATCCATCTTGAGTTAATTTTTGTATAAGGTGTAAGGAAGAGGTCCAGATTCAATTTTCTGCATATGGCTAGCCAGTTCTCCCAGCACCATTTATTAAACAGGGAATCCTTTCCCCATTGCTTGTTTTTGTCAGATTTGTGGAAGATCAGATGGTTATAGACATGCAATCTTATTTCTGAGTCCTCTATTCTGTTTCATTGGTCTGTGTGTCTGTTTTTGTACCAGTACTAAGCTGTTTTGGTTACTGTAGCCTTGTAGTATAGTTTGAAGTCAGGTAGCATGATGCCCCCAGCTTTGTTCTTTTTGCTTAGGGTTATGTTGGCTATATGGGCTCTTTTTTGGTAACAATTGAAACAAAAGCAAAAAATTGACAAAAGGGATCTAATTAAACTAAAGAGCTTCTGCACAGCAAAAGAAACTATCATCAGTCTGAACAGACAACCTACAGAATGGGAGAAAATTTTTGCAATCTCTCCATCTGACAAAGGCCTAATATCCAGAATCTATGAGAAACTTAAACAAATTTACGAGGAAAAAACAACCCCATTAAAAAGTGGACGAAGGACATGAACAGACACTTCTCAAAAGAAGACATTTACACAGCCAACAAACATATGAAGAAAAGCTCAACATCATTGATCATTAGAGAAATGCAAATAAAAACCACAGTGAGATACCATCTCACAACAGTCAAAATAGTGATTATTAAAAAGTCAAGAAACAACAGATGCTGGGGAGGTTGTGGACCAATAGGAACGCTTTTACAGTGTTGGTGGGAATGTAAATTAGTTTAACCATTGTGGAAGACAGTGTGGTGTTTCCTCAAAGACCTAGAACCAGAAATACCATTTGACCCAGCAATCCCATTACTGGGTATATACCCAATGAAATATAAATTGTTCTATTATAAAGATACATGCATGCATATATTCATTGCAGCACTATTCACAGTAGCAAAGACATGGAGTCAACCCAAATGCCCATCAATAATAGACTGGATAAAGAAAATGTGGTACATATACACCATGGAATACTATGCAGCCATAAAAAGGAATGAGATCATGTCCTTTGCAGGGACATGGATGGAGCTGGAAGCCATTATCCTCAGCAAACTAGCACAGGAACAGAAAATCAAACACTGCGTGTTCTCACTTATAAGTGAGAGCTGAACAATGTGAACACGTAGACACAGGGAGAAGAACAACACACACTGGGGCCAGTTGAGGGGTGGGAGCAGTGTGCAGGGGGAAGGAAAGCATCAGGAAAAATAGTTAATGCATGCTGGGCTTAATACCTAGGTGATGGGTTGATAGGTACAGCAAATCACCATGGAACATGTTTACCTATGTAACAAACCTGCACATTCTACACATGTATCCTGGAACTTAAAATACAATAAAAAACAAAACTTGAGTGTAACTTATTTTTAAAATGCAGCATCAAAATATACAAAATTAAGCTCATGGAAATACAAAGACAAATTTACTGATCCTTAAATGTTAGAGCCTTAAAGATACTTCATACAAAATTTATTTGACATTAGACTCAAAGAGGAATAGCAAAATTCAAACTACTAAAAATTTGATTTGGTAGCCATGCACACACATACACACACACACACACACACACACACACACACACACACACAGAACTGTAATCTTAAAACAACAATACAGTTTTTCCAACACTCATGAAATAATATTTTAAATTTTAATATATTATTTCAAAATTAAAATAAAAACAAATTATATGAAACTGAAAATTGAGTCCACATTATGGAAACAAAATATTTAAAAAAAACAACAGAAAAGAATAGCCAAGGGAAAAAAAACAATTTTAACTGAAAATTTTAATATTCTAAATAATCTTGTACTAGAAAGGAAATGAAAATTGATATAAAATATTGTTATGTAAAAGACATATTATCTACTCTGTCTTTTAGCTTCTTCAACATGCTGTGCTCATTCTCACCTCAGACCCTTGGCACTTGCTGTGCCTACTGCATACTCTGTAGAATATTTTTCCTAGCTGATTACCTGCCTCAAATGATCTTTGGAAGGAGTAAATGAATCAATTTACATAAAGCACTTATTAGAGGGCCTGGCATACTTTTAAACCTATATAATTTCTCTCTATAATCATCACCATCATCATTATTGATATTATGTTTCCCAATTATAAACACTGTGCATTTTATTTAACTAGCATGCATTTTTAAAATTTCTTTATTTTGAACTTAATGTAAGTTTACAAATTGCAAATGGCTTAGCTTTTGCATGAGGGATGATAAATATGTTATTTGTGTACAGATTATTGCTTAAATTTTATTATGGATGTCACTATCATGCCTCCTCCTTCATAAATTGATAGCCCTTTTCCATCACAAAGAATAACTGGAAACTGTCAGCTGCAAAAGCCATTTGGCCAATTTTGGTATGATTGAAAAAAAGTAAATGATTCATTTTCATCTCTATCTATGAATTTTTAATAACGAATAGTCAAAATATCAAAGTTTTCCCAGAAGATCCCACAGAGGTCAGACACTTCTTAAACAAGTGCATAAATAGGAAGGGAATCTCTATCTTTGCTCTTTGATTATTTTCCATGGGATGAAATGATGATTTTTGACATTTCTCAATATTGTTTATTGTGGTAATTCATAGCTTTTAGCTGCAGTGTGGGCAGGGGAGAAGAAAAACAATTTTAAGTCTTAGAATAGTCTCCAAGGGAACCAAGAGACTCTGGTTAATTGTTTAAAGGGGAGTTAGGCATTACAAGGATTTTCAAATCCATTATGAGCTTCAGCAAGAAACATTGACCCTCAGAGAGACAATGAAATGTATGATTGTGAATATACTAAGCTTGTTCTTGCAAGCGAGGTGAGCACCTTGTCCATAGGTTTCCCAGAAAATTTTCTAAGATTAAAAATTTGAGGAGCATCTCTCTGAGCTCAGCTTCCTAGCATAAAATGAACATTCTTTAGTTAGAAAAACTGATAACCCAGGATAAAGGGAGAAGGGGAAAATCATTCAGGAGAACGTGATCCAATGAAACCTGTCAGAATAATAAAAGATGTTGTGAATGAGCTCCCAAAGCAAACGCTATTAAAGGCTGAAGATGTATAGACCATAGGGAAGTTGACATAACGTTCATTTAATTATTTCTATTATTCTATCTATCAATTTGAGACAGGATTTCACTGTGTTGCCCAGGTTGGAATGCAGTGGCACAGTCTCCGCTCACTGCAGTCTCGAAGTTCCAGGCTCAAGGGATCCTTCCGTCTCATCCTCCCGAGTGCTGGGACTACAGGCATATGCCACCACACCCAGCTAATTTTCGTATATTTTATAGAAACAGGGTTTTGTCACGTTGTCCATGGTGGTCTCAAACTCCTGGGCTAAAGTGATCCACCTGCCTCGGCCGCCCAAATTGCTAGAATTACAGGCATAAGTCACAGCCCACGGGCTTTATACCTATCGATAAATCTACCTATCCTTTCTTTCGTTCTATCACATGCATATATTATATATGTATTTCTTTATATATACTATATATATAGTGTATATATATATATAAATTTCTTTATCACCTACCTCTATATATCTATCTATCTAGACATTTATATGGTGTGTTAACTAAGTGCCTGGCACTGCACTAAACTATAAGGGTCATTAAAATAAGTGATGCTTTCTGCCTTCGTGTAGCTTACAATAGTGAGAGAGGGAGCTTTAAATAATTGTTAGTAAATTACATTGAAGATAAGGGTTGGAAACATTGAGAGTACTAAAGATGTGCACGCATCATCCTCATGTTTTAAACTGGAAATAATCAATTTGGAAAGAAGTGAAATTTGATGCATATTTTGGGAAAATAAATATTAGACATGTCTCTTTCTGTTGCAAATAAAAGAAACTCAGCTACAAGAGGCTTAAACAAAAAAGATCAGTAAGGGAAAACGTCTCCAGTAGAACTAACCGCAGCTTGCTTTGTCTATTTCCAGCTATCAGGAAGCTGTTTTTATCTCCTGGCTCCTTCCCGTCCCCGCCATCAGCTTATTTTTCTTCCACGTTTGCTTTTTTTTTTTTTTTTTTCCTGTTGAGGTCACTAATGTTCCCAAGATTTCTTCCAAATCGTGTTGAAATAGAATCTATTCTGGTTTTCTCAATAAAAACTGAGGTTAATTCTGAATGGCTCTGAATAGGTCAGATGTCCATCTCTGAACCAGTTGTCATGGTTGGAGAAATAAAGTGATCTGATTGTTCAGAACAGCATACCATGTGTCTACAAAGCTAGCATTGGACACAGCTCTGCCACACAAAGCACTTGTCCTAGGAGTGACGGAGCCTGGATTCATTAGGAAATTAGGATATTGGTATTAGAGAAAAAAGAGAGTGCATATTATATAGGCAAAAAAAAAAAAAAAAGAAATACCTACTGTAATGTTTATCAAATAGTTTGTGAGACCTTAGAAGATAAAAGAGGGGGACTCTTTAAAACTTGCGTGATTTATTAAGAAAATATGCTAAAGTAGATGCATTCTTCTTCTTCTTCTTTTTAAATCTTTCCTTCTGTTCCTCCCTCTTCTTTCTTTTTATCTTTTTCTTTCTTCCTTATATTTCTGTATTTGTTCTTTCTTTCACCTTTGTTTTCTTTCTCCTTCCTCCCTCCCTTCGTTTGGGGTCACCCTTAGGTGGAACCCTCAGCGGAATGACTGACTGTATAGGATTACCAAGATAGACACGAATGGATTCCTAGTTGAAACGTGCTATTCAGGGGGAAGGATTGAGATTCACCTGGGGTCACTAAGAGATCTGCGTTTTATAATGGCAGTGACACACTGGAGAGTGTTCCGCTGAAGGCACTCAACAGAATAGGGAGTTGTATCATGGGAGAAGATGTGTCGGGATTTGGGGACAAGAAAAACAAAAAACAAAGATGAAGACCAAGGCTGTGAATGGTTGTGAAATAGAGATAATTCATTTAAGTATTTGAAGGGCTGGCTTGCAAAAAATAAAAAAATAAAAAAAAAGATTGTTGACTTTTTCTTTGTTTCAGGCTGCAAAAATAAGACAAAGAGGCCGGGCACGGTAGCTCACGTCTGTAATCCCTGCACTTTGGGAGGTTGAGGTGGGAGGATCACTTTGAGGTCAGGAGTTCAAGACCAGCCTTGCCAACATGGCGAAACCCCGTCTGTACTCAAAATACAAAAATTAGCCGGGCGTGGTGGCAGGTGCCTGTAATCCCAGCGACTCAGGAGGCTGAGGCATGAGAAGCGCTTGAATCCAGGAGGCGGAGGTTGCAGTGAACCGAGATCGCGCCACTGCAGTCTAGTTTGGGAGACCGAGTGAAAAATAAAATAAAATAAAATAAAAAAGACAAAGAGTTGGAAATGTAAATGGTTTTTTCTGGTCTCCATGAAACAAAGGGACTTCTAAAAGAGCAGTAGAAGCTGGGTGTTAACTAGGAGTGTGCCTTTTTTTTTTTTTTTTTTTTTTTTTTTGTCCCTTTATGATTAAAAGCTAGCCTTGCTTTCAATATAAAGCAGTAGAAGAAAGGCTGACAAATTAGGGTTTCCTACAGTGAGAAAGAAAGTTCTATGATATCAACTACCCATTGTGGGGGAATGTTCTCGCAGAGTCTGGGTTAGTTCTTGTGGCAGGTTGTGGACAATTCTGCCCATACTGGGCAATATGGGAAATCTCCTAAGCCCCGCAGAGCAATCGCAGGTACAAGAGTGCCCCAGTGCGAACGCAGCAGAAATTTTAACCCTCAAAGCATTCTTAGTTCTTTGGCAATCTTTGCCCTTCTTATTTCCTACTCTGTAAGTAAATCAAAGAAAAAGTAGGCTTGTACCTAGTTCCAGTCAAACTTCTCACACAAACTCAAACTCAGACTAGACTGGAAGGTCTGGCCTAGCCCATCTTTTCCAAGCAATATTGGACCAACATAACTCCTTATGAGGGGTTGTCCTGAATAACCTTCAAAGCCTTGTCCAACTCCTAAATTCTATGATTCTTATTTACACCCGTTATCTATTGATCTGTGAGGCTGCTAGTCATAAAAGAGAAGCTCTTTGAAGTCATAAAGTGAATAATTTACCACATCCTTGGTTTCTTGCTGCTTTGTGTTTTTGCTAACACATGCACATTTACAAAAAACGAAGCAAAAGACCAAAACAAACTCTGCTCCTTCTGTCCTTTCCATAAAAATATAATTTCACCTAGTAAAAAAGCAATTCACCATCTTAGCAATCCACTGAGCCTCTGGTTGCCTTATCATGTTAATGGGTTTAGTACATCTACCTTACCTACTTTCATAGGGCTGCTGGAATACAGTTAAAATATTAAATTTTCACAAAGCAAGAAACACAAATCTTTAGTCAAATATAAGACCTAAAAAAAAATCCCTCCATCTCACCATTTAACTCCAAAATATTTTTGTCATCTATAATAAATGCAAGAAGAAAGCATTTTGCAGCCAAAACTCTACTATTTCTACCTCAGGCATCAGAACAAGTGGGTTGGCACACAGAGTGGGTAAGGCAGGTAGAGAATATGCTGCTAGGGTAAGGTGGTATCTGGGCATATTTTCTTTTAGCTCATATCTAAGAGAGTTAAGAAAGGGCTGAGCAGGAAATAGCAGATGCAGCTGTAAAAGATTTTCAGGTATCAGCTTTGGTAGAAAAAAATTAAAGATACAGAATTTTTTCTTTTCTTTTGTTTTTCATGGGGATGAGGGAGTGGGGAAATAGTTCTCCTCTTTTAGACTTAATTGAGGAAAGGAACCTTGAAAGTGAAGCGAAGTCTATTCCCAATCTGCCTTCATTTGTGAACACATACTGGTTAATGCCATAGTAATAAAACAAAACTAATCTATTTTTAATAAGCTGTTTTAGATTATTTTGTTGCAGGTAAAAGAGCAGGGTTGTTGTAAATGTAGACATGGCTATAAGCCGATATCCCCATATTTGTTTCTTTTGTTTCTCCTCCTCCTCTAATTCACTCACATCTTCTGTCTTGGAGTCCCACTCCTTTGCCTCCATTTTGAGCCATTTGGAGAGAGAGGATGTGTAGCATTGGACTTACGTTGGCATTGCTCTTAGATATTTAGGACCTGTAAACCAGGTCCAGTGGCTTATGCCTCTGATCCCAGCACTTTTGGGGGTTTAAATTAGAGGATCACTTGAGGCCAGGAGTTCAAGACAGACCTGGACAACACAGAAGACCCAATCTCTAGAAAAAAACAAAAAAATAGCAAGATGTGGGGGTATGCACCTGTAGTCCTAGCTACTGAGGGAGCTGAGGTAGGAGCATCACTTGAACCCAGGCTATGATGGTGCCATTGCACTCCAGCCTGAGTGACAGAGCAAGACCTTGTCTCTTGAAAGAAGAAGAAGAAGAAAAAAAAGCTATTCAGAACCTATAATCATGGTGTGCCTTCAGTGACCCATGTTTACCAGACCCTACACATAATAGTACCTCAATGACTCTGGGTCTATTCTTTTGCTCATGCTGGTCTCCACACAATAGTATCCTTGACTCATATATATTTTCTGCAAATTATAGACTATATGCCCTGCCTCACCCTCCAACCCCCGGATGTTGTTTAAGGATCCGTATGTATGCAATAAACATGCAGGGAAATTTAAGACAGTCATATACAGAAACAAGTTTACTGCAGAGGCTGATGTTCAGGAAGAAAGAAACAACAAATATTTTGACCTTTGGCAATATATTATTTATTAAGCTAGGTAGTAGATATGACTATTGCATTCTTTATAATTTCCATTTTTTGTTTTCATTTTTACATCCTTTATAATTTCTATATGTTTTACATGCTGCATGATTAATTAATTTTTAAGAGTGAGTCCAATATGACACATTTTTGGTGTATCTTCAAAACTCTACATTTTTTATATGACAGGAAACTCTAAATGATAGCAAATATTTATGAGAGTAAAAATTTTAATGAATTCAATTACAAAATTGTGAGCAAATCCTTCCTCATAGTGTCTTGGGTGCAACAAAATGCAGTCGGCTCTTCATTCTAGAACTGGGTGGCAGACAAATGATGCCCGTTCTACCAGTGTTGCAATGAGTCATCTTCAAACTACTCTTGGACAACTAGCAATACATGAACATTTTCAGATAGTTTGCTCATGAGATATTAATTTTATTTTTGAGGTTTACTATGAAAATAAAATATTTTATATTTCAATTATAAAAATTATGAACTTGAGAGAATAGAATTTCAAGTATAAAGAACTCCTTCAAAGTGACCTGTTTAAGTGGTTCTTCGCCTGTCGTTTTCTTCTACCACTTTTTCAAACAAAGTGAAATCTACCCTCATTGGAAATGAAAGCCACTTTTTCCAAGAATGACATAGTAAGATTCAAAACAACAAAACATTTCCAGTGGTAGTCTTTGGAGTAAGTTTTATTAGTATTGCTTCTTGTGTTGAGTTGCATAGCTCTGTAACTTATGAAAATTAGATTAAAACCAGGACAAGCTTTATGGAAGTTCAAGAGAATGATGGAAAACACAGTTTTCAGGAGTCTAAAGTAGTCAAAACATTACTAGTTGGTGTCATCTTTCTTTAATAAGAGCTAGCCTCTTTGAAAGAAAACAGGTTGGATGAGGAATAAGAAATGGCAGCCAAGGTAGACCAATAGCATGGTTTATTTCAGGCACCATACAAATAAACAACAGCATTATTGTTAAAGCAGAGTGGGCAATTCAAAAGGAGTGCTGAAATAAAATAATAATATTTGAGGAAAGAAATATAATAAAAGGTAAAATCCAAACCTATTATATTGTGAAAAGAAATTGTACATAGCAGGTATGATATGTTTTTCTTTCGTTTTTTGAGACAGAGTCTTGCTCTGTCACCCAGGCTGGAGTGCAGTGGTGTGATCTTGGCTCACTGCAACCTCCATCTCCCAGGGTCAAGCAATTCTCCTGCCTCAGCCTCCCTAGTAGCTGGGATTACAAGCTGTGTGCCACCACGCCTGGCTAATTTTTGTATTTTTAGTAGAGACTGGGTTTCAGCATATTGGCCAGGCTGCTCTTGAACTCCTGACCTCATGATCCACCTGCCTCAGCCTCCCTAAGTGGTGGGATTCTAGGCATGAGCCGTCGCCCTGGGCCTATAATATGTATTTCTAAAATAAAGATCAGACATGAGAATATCATAGACTGAAGGTTAAATTAAGCAAGTAAACTTTAGTTGTTTAGTTCCAGCTTTAGTTTAACTAAGGTTGCTACAAGAAACTACAAAAAATGAACCCAACAGTGCACTTTTTTTCTAATAATATTATTGAAGGGACAGTCTACTGTGTCATTTGGTGAATTTTGCAATGGGCTTATGTATGGAAATAATGAAAGACCTAGATTAACAGATATATGCTTAAAAATTGCTGTTAGGAAGAGATAAATGTGAAGTTCATTAATGTCAACTATCTGACAGCTAAAAATTCTCACTTATATGAAAGTGGACCTCCTCTCTACCTTCTTTTACATTGTTCTAGGACTCTAAGGAGCCACAAAGCATTTAATACTGAAATCAAAGATGATAATAATAATCATATTACATAAAGTAAAGCTTCCACGGGTTTCTGAAGATTAAGTTAATTCAAGTCTTAGTATAATATCATATTTATCAATTGACTGATCTCTGTGAACCTAACATATTAGCTGCTCTATCCTACTTGTAGCTATGACAATAAATCATATTTTTTGTATTCAAATCTGAAGGCAAGAATTCGACAAAGCACTGCCAATGATAATATGTTACCTTCCTTCCCCCAAGCCAGGAAATTAATAAATTTATTAAACAACTACTTATTGATATGCTCATTATTTGTAAGTCAATAAGCTAGTTGCAAACAGTTAACTAAACAAGAAATATTTGTATCCTCAAAATGCTTATATCCTAGTAAAAATGTACTGTACTAGACTCTACAAATGGATATTGGGAAAACCTGATTTAACATGATTGTGAGTTTCAGACCAATAGTTGAAAAGAAAGGTGTTTTCATCAAACAAACCTCACATAGAATGCACAACAAGCCATGAAATATATTCTCATTGTTTTCCATATTAGTATGTATATTGAAAACTTGTATTGGAAATTTTTTTGTAAATGTTTAAAAACAGGGATAAAATTTACCATTTTAACGATTTAAAAATGTAAAATTCAGTGGTCTTTAGTAAAATCACAATGGTGTCTAATTATCACAACAATCTAATTGTAGAACATTTTCATCACTCTTGGAAGAAAATCCATTAATCCGTCACTACCAATTCCTCTCAGCTCCTGCCACTTGCAACCACTAATCTGCTTTATGTCTCCATGAATTTGTCTATTTATTCTGGACATTTCACAATAATGGAATCGTACAATATGTGACCTTTGTGTCTGGCATCTTTCATTTAGGATAATTTTTCAGAGTTCATGGATATTGTAGCGTGTGCTAGTACTGTGTTGCTTTTTGTGGCTGAATAATATTCCATTACATGAACATACCACATATTGTTTACCCATTCATCAGCTGATGGCCATTTGGATTATTTCCACCTTTTGGCTACTGTGAATAATGCTGCTCTAAACATGAGTTTTCTTATGAACAACTATTTTCAGTCGCCTGAGCTTTATCTGGGAGTGGTATTACTGTGTCACATAATAACTTTACGTTTAGGTTTTGGAACTGCCTAATTGTTTTCCACAGTGGCTGCATCATTTTATACTCCCAATAATGATGGATCAGGGGTGCAGTTCTCTCACGTGCCCACCAACACTTAATATTTTCCTTTTTTTTTTTTTTTTTGAGATGGAGTCTCCCTCTGTCACCCAGGCTGTAGTGCAGAGGCAAGATCTCAGCCCACTGCAACCTCCGCCTCCCAGGTTCAAGTGATTCTCCTGCCTAAGCCTCCTGAGTAGCTGGGATTACAGGTGCCTGCCACCGCGTCCGGCTAATTTTTGTATTTTGAGTAGAGACGGGGTTTCGCCATTTTGGCTAGGCTGGTCTCGAACTCCTGACCTCAAGTGATCTGCCTGCCTTGGCATCCCAAAGTGCTAGGATTATAGGTGTGAGCCACCACGCCCGGCCTGTTTTCCATTTTTCTTAGCCATTCTAGTGGGTATGAAGTGGTATCTCACTGTGGTTTTGATTTGCATTTCTCTAATGACTAATGATGCTGAGCATCTTTTCAAGTGCTTGCTGTTCATTTGTATATCCTCTTTGGAGAAACGCTTATCCAGATCACTTGCTGATTTTTCAATTGTGTTGTTTATCTTATCGGTGTTGAATTTTATGGTCTTTACATATTCTGGATATTAAACCCTTATGAGATATATTATTTGCAAACGTTATTTCTCATTTCATGGGTCTTTTTTTACTTCCTTGATAATATATTTCAATATATAAAAAGTTTAATTTTGATTAAATTTAGTTTACCATTTTTTTCTTTTGCTGCTTGTGCTTTTGGAGTCATACTTAAGAAACCACTACCTAATTCAAATATATGAAATTTGCACGTATATTTTCTTTTCAGAGTTTTGTAGTTTTAGGTCTTACATTTAGGCGTTTGATCCATTATGAGTTAGTTTTTCTATGTAGTGAGAGATAGCGGCCCAAACTCCTTGTTTTTCTTTTCGATATTATATTGTCTCAGCACTGTTTGTTGAAAAGACTATTCTTTCTTTACTGAGTGGTCTCAGCACTTTGGTTGAAATCAATTGAACATAAGTACTAGGATTTATTTCTGAACTCGAATTCTTTATTTAATTTTATTTTCTCAGCTTTTACAAGTATAACTGACAAAAATTGTATATGTATGCATACACGGTGTATAACATGATGTTCTGATATATGTACATATTGTAAGATGGTTAAATCAGGCTAACATCTTCATTACCTCACATGCTTATCATTTTTTTGGTTATGAGAACATTTGAGATCTACTCTCTTACCAATTTTCAGGTGTACAATACATAATTCCTAACTATAGTCACTGTGCTGTATGCTACATCTCTAGAGCTTATTCATCCTAACTGAAACTTTATGTTACTGCCATAAATTGTCTTTTTATATTGTGTGTCCACTAGCGTAGATTTATAATTATTGTTCTTGCTATTGTCTTTTAAATCAGATAGCAAAATAGAGGAGTTAAAACAATAAATGCATTTATAATGACTTTTACATAATACTTTTATAATGCCTATTTATTTACTATTAACCATGTTCTTAATTTCTTTGTGTGGATTCAAGTAGCTGTCTAGTGTCCATTAGTTTCAGTCTGAAGTACTCCCTTTAGCATTTCTTTTAGGACAAGTCTATTAGTGAAAACTGTTTTTATTTATTATGGAATGCCTTATTTTCTTGGTTGATAGTTTTTTTTTTTAGTACCTTAAATGTGTACTTTTTAGCTTCAGAATTTCTACTTGATTCATTTCTTAAATTTCTTTCTCTTTATTGATACTCTCTATTTGGTGATACATTGTTATCATTATTTTCTTCAGTTCCTTGGGCAAGATTTTCTTTAGTTCATTGAACACACTTAAAATAGCTGATTTAAAGGATTTGTCTGCTAAGACCAATGTCTCAGGTTAATCAGAGGCAGTTTATATGAATGGCTTCTTTTCCTGTGCATGGAATATACCTTCTTGTTTGTTGGCACGTCTAATGCCTGTTGTGTTTGTTGTTGAAAACTGGACATTTTGAGAATTATAATGTAGCAAGCATGGAATTCAGGTTTTTCTCTTCTCCAGAGTTTCATGTTCTGTTTGTTATGGTGATTGTTTGTTTAGTGACTTTTCTGAATTAATATCATAAAGTCTGTATTCTTTGTCATGTGTGGTCAATAACATCTCTTTTCTGTGAGGTTAGTAGTCAGCTAGTGATTGGACAGAGATTTCTATACTTGCCTGGAACCAAAAACATCTCCCAGAATTTTGAGATGGGCTTCTGTGTGTTAAACTCTAGTGAGGCCGTGTACCATCCCTGCCCTAGCATTCACTTCTTGCCAGCGCAGAGACCGAAGGTTAGTCAGTGGCGAGAGATTAATGCCTTTTTCGGTTTTTCCTGAGGATTTGCACTGCCCTGTACCTACGTGTGGCCCTCTGGATTCCCAGAATATGTGAAATTTTCAAAGCCTTTATTCCCCAAAGCATTTCAATCTCCAGCCTTTCATCCTAAGCTTTTAATTAATCTATTTTTTTTTGCCCCAACTTTTATTCACTTCCCCAGGAAACAGTGACTATTATATTTGCCTGTGAACATTTTTGACAAACATCCTTGGGGTAGCAACCTCAGCACTGGGAGAGTTCCATGTTATGAGACATTAAGGCAAGCACTTTTAGCTTGACTTTAAGCAGGTCTTTCAGGGAGCTACCAGGTGGGCTAAAACAATTATTTGTGAGCGAGGTCTGTTTTGCTCCCTCCAGCACTGATTACCTGTACTAGAAATACAGTACATTTTCATGACTACCATCACTAAGATGAGGAGTATGGGATGGAACCAGGGTAAGTGTAAATACCTCAAAGCTCATTGTTCTTACCAAGATTCAGTAGGTATTTCTTCAACAAATGGTCTCCCAATTTCTCCAGCATCTTAGTTAGTTTTCAGAATTCTAGAAAAGTCAAATTAGACAAGATTTTTGTTGTTGTTTGCCTAGCTTTTGTGTTGTTTTTATGAGGAGATGAATTTTCAAGTTTCCTACTCTGCCCTTTTTGCCCTTTTGGAAATTTCTTTTGAAATAATTCTTCCTACGGACTTACGGAATCGTAATGTTGTGGTTAAAAAAATTATTATAACCTGATAGGTGAGCCAATCTTCATTTATTTTCAGTTATCTTATGACTGGCATTTTATTTTCACAATTTCTGTCTCATTTTCTCCCTAGCCTATTCCAAAAAAGATTTGAGGTAACTTACATATGTTCAAATGTCACTTTAAAAAACTCTATAAAGATAAAGGTGTCAGAAAAGGGAACCATGAGAACTAAATTGTCGGTTAAAACTAGGAAGAAGAGTGCAGAAATGCACAATGTACTATTTTCTTCACACATGCCATCATGAACTATTTGGAATATAGTGAGTATATCAGATCGGCTGGAATGAAAGATTCAGATACGGAGTACTTTTGATATGAATGAAGGCAATATTATTTTCTGATATTGAAGGAACATAAATTACAATTTAGAAAAGGAATGGCTTATATCAAATTTCTGTAGTCTGAGTTTAAAATAATTTTCAACATCTTGCCTCAGTTCCCATAACTATATTGTTATAAAGTCAGCAAATATTGTCTCCATTGCATAGATAAAGACAAGAAATGAAAGGCTATAAAGTAGATCGTTTTGGTAGTAAAACAGAAACTGGAGCTGGCTCACTACAGTCTGATTGACTCTCTTTTCTCAAGCTTGGTAAGAAAATAAGCAATTAAGAGTGGCGTGTATAATAGTAATATAAATGGGCATAGCACACTATCTAGCATACATTAAGTGCTCAATAATGTAACTCCTTATTACCTTTGCTGCCCAACTTCATCATTATTATTATTTGTATCATAATAAAATTAATGAGTTATTAAATGAATTTTAAAGACATTTTAAAGGAAAATTACACATTATTGTACCAGTGCTCTATAAATTTCATTTCTCATGGTTCAACTCATATTTATTATGTATTAAAAAATTGTTCTTTTAACCATCCATCTACCAAACCACCCATCACTCATTTAAAAATATTTTAAAAACATATTTTTACTAAGTATTTGGGATTAAACTATGGGAAAACATAGCCCTCTGCATGTAATTTACTTACAGATGACTGGGCAAACAGAAGAATACTTATAACATCAGTAAATGACAACTGTTAAAATAGGGAGAAACATAATGAATTATACATGCAAATTTAAAGAAATTATGCAAGCAAATTTGGAGAACATAAAATATTTCTTTCAAGAGTGGAGGAGAAATCATCTAAACCTTTTGTAAAAAGATCTAAGATCAATACATGCTGGTAAAGTGTAGGAGAATACATATATGAAGAAGAGGAGATACATGTAGAAAGTGCACTGTTATGTAAAATGGAAAGGTATTTGATATAATTTGGTATAACAAGACATTGAGAGTGATGAAGGGAGCTATTTGGCATGAGGTGGCAAAGTGGACAGACCCCAGATCATAATAGTTCTTTTATGCTACCCTGCTTAGCTTGGACTTTATCATGAGCCAAATAAAAAACAACTGGTGATTTTAAGCAGGAAATTAGCTTATGTCTACATTTTAGAAACATCACTCTGGCTACTGAATAAGCAAGTGTTTTGAAAGAAGCAATTTTGAAGAGTTACACCAGTTAGAAGGCCAGTGCAAGCTAAGTTATAGATTAACAATGGCTTGACCTACGATAGTGTCAATGGGAGATAGTGATAAATTCAAGATATATTGAGAAGGAATACTAGATAAGACTTACTGATTTATTAGATTGGGGAAAATACTGATAATTTGATTTGGCCGCTGGTAGGCATGCTGGAGCTACTCAGTTGAGAAACATTGAAACAAGGGAAAAGAAGCTGATGATGGGAAGAGGGTTACATATGTTGGGAGCATATAAATGTACATATACAATACGCTGTTGACCGTGGCACTGTATCCAATATAATGGACAATCCAAAAGCATAAAACATGCTTCCAGTCCTCCATGACTTTACAATGTGGTCAAGGAAATAAAACATTTAATGTAACAGTAATCATAAAATATGAGAAATCATTGGAGAGTAAGACTAAGTTATGAACACAGAAACTATTACAATTTTCAGGGCAGAGAGTGAACTGTGGGAACAGTAGGTGAGAGAACAATTCATGACAAATGGAGGACTGAGGGATAGAGAGATAGAAGTCACATTTAGATAAGCAGGTGAAAAGCAGTTTCAAAAGAAAGAAATTTATTGGAGGCTGGTGTAGGTGAGAATCAGCAAGAAGTAATCTAGCCTCTCTTTTTGTTACTAATATCTGTGTTATGTATCACTTTGGGGTTTTTTAATTTTAGAAACTGTCTTCATTAAGCATAGTATTTATTATTAAATTCTTGTCTTGAGAGTACAACTGAGCATTTCTTTTCATATCAAGGTGCTTTTTTTTACATTTTAAAATGCTTGCGTAATTCACATTGGCTATTGTTATTTTACAGCATTTAGACTCATAAAACAAGAAGGGAGTAAACATATTAAAATTTTACTGTTTAAAATAATGAAAAAGACACGGTTAAAATATAATTGGAAATAATTTTTACTCATGAAAATATGACCAGAGAAAAATATTTTCTGAGGTTGAGACACATTAAAATTAGATTGAATACACTGTTTTTTTCAATCACAATGTAATAGTGATTAAAATATTCAAAATTTAATTAACATTTAGTATTGTTGGCAAAGAGCGATGACATTATAAATGGACTTAAAAGGATAAATGTAAAATACATTTGTAGAAATTAGATAACTGATTGGAAGGATCCAAGTATGATGAAACATTTGTTTGATTTATTCAACATTTATTCTCAGCATGAGTTGTCTATTTATTCAGCGTATTTCTAATTTATAAAGTTTCCAATGTATTCTGTGGATCAAGTATTATCTTAATTGTTTAATGGAACTGTATACAAACGTCACTTCTGTTAAAATCATTAATTCTCAACTGCTTTCAATAATAAATGGTAAAAATATTATAGGAGTGATACTACTTCAATTGTGGTATCTGACCATGAGCTGAATTGAATGAGAGTAAGGTTCATGGTTAATATGTACCAGATGAAGCTTATAAAACAAAAAATTAAAATAAGAAATATAGTCACATGTTTCAATCTGCAATTATGTTTAGGAAATGGTAATTCTGATTTAAATAATCACAGGAGACAACAGAAAATATAAAACTAAAATAATTAAAATTGATGTATAATAACTTCCTGCAAAGAATGAAAAGAACTGAAAAATAATATTATTAATAAATTATTTAACAAATATAATGCCTCTGTACATTTAAGTTAATTATATGTGGTTGTGTTCTTCACTCCATAATATTTTTGGACAATTGAATGTTTTGGTTTCATCGTTTACAAGGTATTTTCCAGATGTCCCCTATATTAAAGTAAGCTGCTACTGCCAAGCATTAACTATTCAAAGTACAAACTAAGGTGAATTCTGTGGTTGGAAATTACAAACAGTTATCACCCACTCTTATTTGGGACAACTTCACAGAGTCAAGATAGGACTAATTGGATGTAATATACCTTATGGCCCTTTCGAGAAAAATTTCTGTTTTATTTCCTTACCCAAGCAGAGAATCACACTATGCTTCTTATTAAAAATGCCCAGGGGTTGTGAAGGCTAAGAATCTATTTAAGCTTCAAAGTCTGCAAGAATTCAAATGGTGTGATTTTGAGTGGAGATCTTTGATTCACTAAACAAGAATTATTTCTTTTGTAACCAGAATTAACTTTGTCCTTGTCATTGCTACATTGTCATTGTCATTGCTGACATGGTCATTGCTCTAAAACAATATAATTTGTTGAAATGATAATTTTACAGATGGAAATAATTTTAAGTTGCTTACACCTTGGTTAATTACTAGAATCTTAAGTTACCTCCCTATCTCACCAAAATGTTGATTATCATTGCTTTTACATGAAAACAGCTGGTCAATTCAAAATTACCAATAGTTTGAATCTATTTGACATTAAGCAACACACACACACACACACACACACACAGACACACACACACAGCCTTTCAGCACACACAAAATGGCTCTCTTATGCAAACACAAGTTTGAGAAAATTACTCATAAGATTAGTAAAAGGAATCAAACAAAACCCCTATAAACTAATAGAATTGATAAATCAAAATTACTGCCTCTGCAGAGCAACATGGCCAAATAGAACCCTCCAGTGATCGACTCCACAACAGCAACACCAAAGTGAACAACTATTCACACAAGAAAGCACCTTCAGAAGAACCAAAACTTGGATGAGTGATTACAATACCTGGTTTTAACATAATATCAAGAAAAGAAGCATGGAAGAGGGTAGGAAAGACAGTCTTGAATTACTGATACCATCCCTCCGCCGTCCCCTGGTCTGGACCACATGGCACAGAAAGAAAATCAGTGCACTTGAGAGAGGGTGAGTGCAGTGATTGCGGGACTTTGCATTAGAACTCAGTGCTTCCTGGTCACAGTGGAAAGCAACACAGGGCAGAATTCAGCTGGGTAGAAGTAGAAAGTTTATTCAAAGAAATAATAAGATAGAACTTTCCAAAGTTAGAGAAAGATATCAACATTCAAGTACAGGAAATTTATAGAACGCTGATATTTAACCCAAATAAGATTACCTCAAGATATTTAATAAGCAAACTCACAAAGGTCAGAAATAAAGAAAGAACCTTAAAAGTAGCAAGAGAAAAAATAACACACAAAGGCATTCCAATATATCTGGCAGCAGACTATATACAATATATCAATATATCAGTCCAGGAGAGAATGGCATGTCATATTTAAAGTGCTGAAAGAAAACAAAAATCTTTTTATCCTAGAATATTCCTCAGGAAACTAAAAATAGAACTACTATATAATCCAGCAATCCCATTGCTCGGTATGTACCCAAAAGAAAGGACATCAGTATACTGAAGAGATATCTGCACTCTGTATTTATTGCAGCACTATTCACAATAGCCAAGATTTGGGATCTACCAAAGTATCCATCAACAGATGAATGGATAAAGAAAATCTGGTACAGTACACAATGGAGTACTATTCATCTATAAAAAGAATGAGATCCTGTCATTTGCAACAACATAGATGGAACTGGAGGACATTGTGTTGAGTGAAATAAGCTGGGAATAGAAAGGCAAACTGCATGCTGTCACTTATTTGTGGGATCTAAAAATTAAAACAATTGAACCTATGGAGATAGAGAATAGAATGATAGTTATCAGACATTGGGAAGGGTAGTGGTAGTGAGAGATGCAGGGGAAACTGAGAATGGTTAACGAGTACCTAAATATAATTAGATAGAATGAATAAGATCTAATATTTGATAGTATAACAGGTTGATATGGTTTGGATCTGTGTTCTCCCCAAAATCTCATGTTGAAATGTAATCCCCAATGCTGGAGGTGGGGCACCAGGTGGGAGGTGATTGAATCATGGGGGCAGTTTCTAATTGTTTAGCACCATCCTTCCAGTGCTTTTCTCATGATAGAGCTCTTGTAAGATCTGGTTAGCATTAGGTGATATACCTAATGTTAAATGACGAGTTAGTGGGTGCAGCACACCAACATGGCACATGTATACATATGTAACAAACCCGCACATTGTGCACATGTACCCTAAAACTTAAAGTATAATAATAATAAAATTAAAAAAAAAGATCTGGTCTTTTAAAAGTGTGTGGCACCTCTCCCTTCTCTCTCTGTTTCTCCTTCTCTGGCCATGTGAGGCATCTTACTTCCCCTTCACCTTCTACAATGATTGTAAGTTTCCTGAGACCTCCCCAGAAGATGCTATGCTTCCTGTACAGCCTGCAGAAGCGTGAGTCAATTACAGCTCTTTTATTTATAAATTACTCAGTCTCAGGTATTTGTTTATAGCAGTGTGAGGACGGCCTAATACACAGAGTGATTACAGTCAACAAAAATGTAGTATACATTTAAAAATAACTAAAAGAGTATAATTGAATGTCTGTAACACAAAGAAAGGATAAATACTTGAGGCAATGATTATCTCATTTACCCTGATGTGATGATTACACATTGCATGCCTGTATCAAAATATCTCATGTACCCCATAAATATATATACCTACTATATACCTATACAAATTAAAAATTAGAAAAATTTTTTAAAAAATTACTGCCTCTGCTCTTCACCTGTTAAAATATATAACTGACCGCAAGACAGTGCCTTGTATAAATAGTAAAGAGAAGGAGCTTTGATATATTATGTGTACAGAGACTCAAAGTTTCAAATGAAAGCCAATTTTTAAACGTTTTCTCCATAATTTTTAAAATCAATGGGATATTCTTTAGCTTTTTTCCTTCATGATGTTTGACTTGCTAGTGAGTACTGATGTAACCAGCAGACATGCAATGAGGAGAGAGAATTAAAAAATCTAGAACGCAGTTAATTTACCAACTGACTGGTCAATCCCTGAGTAATGAAGAGTTTACTATGTAATCTGTGGTAGTTATTTACGGTAGGCATCAGCCACTGAAAGTTATGAAACTTTGTGTGTTTCCATTGAAGAAGACTTTTTAAATGCGTAACTACACAAATTGTTGACATTTGCATGCCTAAATTTTGTGATGAGGGTACTTTGAAAAAACAACTTAGCAAAACCATGAGGTCTCTCTCTAATTTTGAGATCGTAGTATGTTCATTTAAGGCCAATCAACTTATTTTTCAAGTAAGACTGACCTTTTCGAGATTGATTTTGATGAATTAGGTGATGATGCATCATTTCTAATATTCAAGATTGGCTATATCAGTCATGCCACATTACATTATATTTTAAAGAGAAAAACATTGACATCATAATATTTTTCTCTATTAGCACATGAAGTATCAGTCAGAGGCTCTAAAAAAATAGTTTGGCTCTCATAATTCCTTAAATGAATTGTTTTAGTTTGCTGTAAAGGCTTAAATATATTCCAGCACCACTGGGCCAGGGAAAATGTACTATGTCTCTGGGCTACAGATTTTGGCCTTGGTCAGATAACACTCTTCATCCAGCTAATTTTGCATACGCCATTGCTGAGATAAACTATTAAAATGATGAAATTATTTAACATTCAAAATATCATGAAGTCCAAGGGTTTCACATGAAACATTAGACAGAGTCCTTGATTATTAGCTGCAACTTCAAAATGATATACAAGTATACACTATGAGGTGGGAAGAGGAATACTGCTACCAGTAAGGAAATATCAACATAGAGCAGATACTATACAATAGATTATAGCATGAATTGAAACTGATGGATCAAGATGGCTTGAGGAGAACGCTAGTTCTATTTGTGACCCTCTGCTCTTTGAATAGCTCATTTGTCCTCTCTATCTCTTGCCTTCCTGATCTACAGTAGGAGAGACCAAAATTAAGAACTATTTCAGCTCTAACACTCCGTGCATCAATAGCCAAGAGTAAAATGTGTTCAAAATATTAGGCCAAGTGTGGTGGCTCACGCCTGTAATCCCAGCAATTTGGGAGGCTGAGGCGGGTGGAGCACTTGAGGCCAGAAGTTTGAGATCAGCCTCGCCAACATGGCAAAACCTGTCTTTACTCAAAATACAAAAAATAGCCAGCAGTGGTGGTGGGTGCCTGAAACCCCAACTACTTGGGAGGCTGTGGCACGAAACTCACTTGAACCCGTGAGGCAGAAGTTGCAGTGAGCCAAGATCACACCACTGCACCCTAGCCTGGGCAACACAGTGAGGCCCTGTCAAAAAAAAAATAATTACAATAGCAATGACACTAGATATTTATGAGGACCAACTCTATGGCAGATAAAATGTTAGCATTTTACTTGTATTGCATAATTTAAAATGTATAGCAATCTTTTGAAACTGGCTTTGTTTTATCCATTTTACAGATTGGGAATCCGAGAATCACTTAGCAGGTAGGTGCCAAAGCTTGAATTCAAACCTAAATTTTATTGATTTCCTATGTTCTTTCCAATAAAACACAGGTTACTTATTGCAAAAAAAAAAAAAAAAAAAAAAGATAAGATAGAAAAACAGTTTAATTTGAGAAAAGGAAGTAGAAGCATCTTAATGACATCTCTACAGCTGGAAAACCAACAACCAACAGAATGGCCTATTGACAGAGGACCTGTGGGCTCATGGCATTTTTGTTGTGTTACAAAGGGCACCACCTATTTCTGTAATATGCTTTCTTAAATCACAACATTACTCAAAGTCATACCAAATTCTCATGCTAAAATGATGAAGGATAAGGTCAGCAAGAGATTTCCAGGTATCTGGACACTGCAGATTTATAACTCTTGTTAAAATTCTTGAGGCAGCAAGGGTGTGACCTAGAAAGATATACTGTGTGGAAAAACAGAGTGAATGGGCTCCACTGTGATACAAAAGGGAAGAATAAGGAAACACCACAAAATTGCTGTTACTATGAAAAATGTACATAGAATACAGATTGTTAATGCATAAGAGCTGAAATGCTTAAGTTGGTATCCTGATTTGGGTCATAAAAAAAATCACTAAGCTGGAGATCTCTGCTTTATGCTACCTCATAAGCAATATCTCATAGTTAGGGAGAATGACAAAGAACCCTCCTCTCCTGGGTTAATGCCAGGCTAACCACAGAGTAAGAAGCCAATGATTATTTGTTTCATATGCTACAAGTAGTAGATACCAGAAATCGTATCAATGTGAGCAGGGTTCGTATCCCTTGAAATTTAGTTAAATTGCATCATCGTGTAACTTAATTCCATTCGCCAGGTGTATTAGTTCATTCTGGCATTGCTATAAAGACATACCCGAGACTGGGTAATTTATAAAGAAAAGAGATTTGATTGGCTCATGGTTCTGCAGGATGTACAGGAAGCATGGCTGGGGAGAACTCAGGAAAACTTTTTTTTTTTTTTTTTTTTTGTTTTGAGCTAGGCTCTGTCGCCCAGGCTGGAGTGCAGTGGCCTGATCTCGGCTCACTGCAACCTCTGCTTCCCGGGTTCAAGTGATTCTCCTGCCTCAGCCTCCTGAGTAGCTGGGATGACAGGCACCCACCACAATGCCCGGCTAATTTTTGTATTTTTAGTAGAGACGGAGCTTCATCATGTTGGCCAGGCTGGTCTCAAACTTGTGACCTCAAGTCATCTGCCTGCCTCAGCCTCCCAAAGTGCTGGGATTACAGGGGTGAAACACCACACCCGGCAGCCTCAGGAAACTTTCAATCATGGCAGAAGGCGACAGGAGAGCAAGCTCATCTTACATGGCCCATACAGGAGGAAGAGAGTGAGGGGAGAGGTGTTACACACTTTTAAACAACCAAATCTCACGGCACACACTCACTGTTACAAGAGCAACACTGAGGGGGAAATCCACCCCCAAGATCCAGTCACCTCCCACCAGGCCCCACCTCCAATGCTGGGGATTACAATTTGACATGAGATTTGGGCAGGGATACAGGCCCAAACCATATCACCAGGTGATCACAGAAAACCAAAAAAGAGTAGGAATGTTTAATGCAGACATGGTCAGCTGTGGGTAAAGTCCTTCTTCTTTCCTCTTGGTTTGTGCTCCAAATTGTGACTGTTTACTCTATTTTTAAAAATTAGTCAACTATAATTTAGTTCACTTAATTCAAACTTTTAGAAATATTTATTTTTTTCTAGAAAAAGGTACATATGAGTGTGTGACTAACCCTGCTAACTCTGAGGAGGGTTAAATAAATAGGATATGAAGAAGGACTTTACCCACAGATGACCATGTCTACATTAAATATTCCTACTCTTTTTTGGTTTTCTGTGATCACCTGGTGATATGGTTTGGACCTGTGTCCCTGCCCAAATCTCATGTCAAATTGTAATCCCCCAGACATCATCTATGTCTGTATTTACACAGTCTTTGAACGGCTAATTGGATGGCTTAATCAGGTAAAGGTTTATAAGTATCATGTTGTTGAGTACTTGGAGTTGGTGTTGTTATTAAAGCATTACTTCTAGTAAAATTACTTCTTATACTAGCGGTCAAGACCTTCCCAGTGGTTTGTTTTTGACCTGGAAAATTTTGTGTGCACATTTTTTTCCCTTAGTCTTCCTCCTGTATGGGCCATGTAAGGTGAGCTTGCTCTCCTGTCGCCTTCTGCCGTGACTGAAAGTTTCCTGAGGCTGCTGGGTGTGGTGTTTCACCCCTGTAATCCCAGCACTTTGGGAGGCTGAGGCAGGCAGACGACTTGATGGCCCAATGGAGACTTGCTGATGGGTGTATACATTTCTTTGTGGGTAGAGTGCGTCACAATTAATTATTGTGCCTAACAATATGCAGTCTTTAGAACCCAAAACTACCAAAAAACCTAGGAATAATTTTTTAAATGATGGCTTAAAAATCATTCATGCTTATAAAAGATTAACACAAAATAATTTTTCGAATGCACCTGCTCTGCAAGAATAATGTCACTGACTGAGGGAAAAAAATGTGCACACAAAATTTTCCAGGTCAAAAACAAACCACTGGGAAGGTCTTGACCTCTGGTATAAGAAAACATGTCATGCTTACCCTTTCCTTGGGGTCAGAATGCCTACAAACTCTCTCAGAAACACAGCTGTTTCTTTTATATGTTCCCTCAGAAGACTACAATTTGCAGTAACAAACCATTTGGAGTTATTGTTATTTAAAAGATTTCACTATGTTTGACAATTAATTTATCTGAAGCAAAATATAATAATTTATCAGTTCAAAATTATTCAATAGACTTGTATCACCTATAAGAGAAATGTCAGATACTTAGCAGGACATATCATTCTCTTCAATATCTGATCCTTTACTTTCTGTCCATCATTTCCAATTTCTCCCCTGTCTCAAAACTCACCCTCCAGCAAAACCAAGAAATGTTAAGTTCCCTACACCCAGTGTGTTCTCTCATGCTTTCTGCCGTTGTGCATTCTGCTCCATAAGGCTAGGATACCACTGTCCTTCTCTGTCCATGTGCCCTGGAAGCATCTTCTGGCCTTCTCTGTCTCCTCGTGAATTCTTGCTTCCTTCCATACTTCCATTGACCCTCCTGTTTGCCTCATATGTAATATTTTCACCATAAATTTTTCACAGGTTTGTTTGATTAAGGGCTTCGGTGATCTGAGTCCCAGAAATCTGAGCATTAGGATAGCATAGAGGTTAAAAGGAAGGGCTCTGATGAAAGAGATACGTATTTAAGTTCCCAATAAAATCCATTCTAGCTCGGTGACTCTGAGCAAGTTATTCTACCTCTCTGGGCTTCAGCTTCCTTACTTGTAAAGCGAGAGTAATCACTGTCCCTCCATTACAGGGTTGTGACAGTTAAATGCAGTAACTTATGTGACAATTAAGGAGACTCATCAATACGTAGTAAAAGTGGTTAGTAAATATTTGCTTTTATTATTATTTTAAATACTATCTAAATCCCTGGCTCAAAGAAGAAGCCTAATAAATATGTGCTGAGGCTGGGTGCAGTGGCTCATGCTTGTAATTCCAGCACTTTGGGAGGTAGAGGTGGGCGGATCACGAGGTCAGGAGATAGAGACCATACTGGCTAACACGTTGAAACCCCTTCTCTACCAAAAATCTGTTAAAAAAAACATTAGCCGGGCGTGGTGGCGGGCGCCTGTAGTCCCAGCTACTCTGGAGGCTGAGGCAGGAGAATGGCGTGAACCCGGGAGGCGGAGCTTGCAATGAGCCAAGATGGCGCCACTGCACTCCAGCCTGGGCAACAGAGCGAGACTCCATCTCAAAAAATAAATAAATAAATAAATAAATAAAATAATAAATAAATAAATATTTGCTGAGTAAAATAAAGAAGTGGATGAATGAAGATATGTTGTGCTAACTCTGACTTGTGGTGTATTTGTATCAATTCATATTCATTGTTCATATGCCCCTCCACCAGGCAAATATCCAGACGATAACCCATCTTAAACTACATATCACTATCCCTTAAATTTTCAGTGCCAATAGAAATAAACAAACAAAAATAAGAAACCCAAGTAAAATATAGTAGTTGAAACAGATTCACCTGAGAAATGTTAAAAATAGAATAATATGTGATGGTAGGATTCAAGTTCTGGAGAACTTTTTAGGTGTGTCTCCCACAGCACACACCAACCATTCCACATAATATCATTATATGGTTGGCTCCAGAAATCATATAGACTAGATTATTACTCTTTAGACTTTGAAGTACATGTGAACCACTGGATGACAAGTTAAAAGACTCTAATTTGGATATAATTGGAATGAGAAATGTAGATACCGTTGTCCTTTCTCAGACCACACTTAGTGGAGCAAAGCAGTTAGATCAGTGTGCAAATTTTTTAAAAGCAAAAGAATTAACTAGGTTGCTTGTTAAACATAAAGACTTTGGAAGCTCATGCACGGAAATTATAATTTGGAGTCAATCCAGGTGCCTGCATTATTAACAAATTCCCATGGTACGTCTCATGTAGTTGCTCTAAGGAACATGCTTTGAAAATCACTGCATAAGAAATACAAGCTTCTCGAGGACAATTTTATTGGCCTTTAGTTTCTTTTGCCTGCCGGAGGCCCTGGAACTTAATGGCTGCAAAATGTATGTTTGTTTTGTAAATAGAAGAAAAAAATATGAATGAATGAATTAAAAATTCACCTGAAAGTTTTGAAACAATGTGGACAGAAAGGAAAAAAAGTATTTTTGCCACATGCATATGTGTGTAATATCTGTAAGTCTACGAAGATTTTCCATAACAACTTTAGTATATTCGTTGTTTCTCTCCTCCTTTCACGATCTTTTAGTTTTTTATTACGTATTATGGGTAAATAGCAGTATTTAGGAAGTAGTAACTAAATGGTAGAATGTAACTATTAATATTAAGACAATTTGTAACCAAATGGCTGTTTTTAAGTTTGTCATTATACCCCTCCATATGCTGCTCCCTGAATCTCACATGATCTGTATTTAACTAATGAGTTCTGGTCTGTTTTTGTTGACAAATAGCTCCCATGGCAGCTCAATCCATTTAAAAAGTGAGAGGAATGACAATGGCTCCCATTACTTCTCTCCCTCAGAAAAAAAGTCACCTGGTCCTCCTCTGGCACTAGTTTGATCCTGAGGCCTGAAAAAGTGAGTGATGAGAGATGATTCGTATCTTGCAGAGCTGGGGGAACTCACAGATAAATTTCTTTTCTATATTTTAATTCGATTCTAATGCAGAAATTTGGGAGTTTCTTTCATTCTCCTAAAAGAAACTTAAAAGTAAACAACTTTTTGTTCTAATATTTAATTGGAATATCCACATAGAAAATAGGTTAATGAGCATAAAGTACTTTGAAAAAAACAGTGAAGTAAAACAAACAAACAAATAAAAACCAATAGTGCTCACATGCAGCTTTAACTGGCGAGCACTTAAAAAGCAGAAAGTAGTTTGTCTGTTTAGCTGCCAGTGTGAAAATAAGAGCAAGCATCTCACTCCTTATCCTCAGGTTTCCTTTGGTATCCCTTTACAATGGTGCGATAATCAAAAGCCACTTATAAAGTGTTTGTTTAAAAGGAGACTGTAATAATTGGACTAAAAATTCTTGCTCTTATAATAACAAAATAATAACATAAGAATAATTCTTACTACCCTAAGAACAAATCTCATCATTTCTAACCAAAGAGCATTTTAGGGCTTAATTATTGATACGGTTTGGCTGTGACCCCACCCAAAATCTCACCTTGAATTGTAATCCCCATAATCCCCACACGTCAAGGACAGGACAAGGCGGAGGTAATTGGATCATGGGGCAGTTTTGCCCATGCTGTCCTCGTGATAGTGAGTGAGTCTCATGAGATCTGATGATTTTACAAGGGTCTGGCATTTCCTCTCTTTGCACTTACTCTGTCCTGCCACCCTGTGAGGAAGGTGCCTGCTTCTCCTTTGCCTTCTGCCATGATTGTAAGTCTCCTGAGGCCTCCCAGCCATGCAGAACTGTGGGTCAATTAAACCTCTCTCCTTTATAAATTACCCAGTCTCAGGTATTTCTTTATAGCACTGTGAGAATAGACTAATATAATTACATATGTCTTTTATCTTATAAAGGGATTCACTGATCTCTCCCTTTTATGTGGGAAAACTAAGAAAACATTATCATCCAAACATAGGGAGCATTGCACACAAATGTATCAGAGGAAAAAGGAACATTCGAATACAAGAGTAATCATAGTAATAGTTAATTGTATTAGATGCTAATCAGATACCTGTTATATTCTAATTGTTTTTTGTATATAAATGGTATAAATCCCATGACAACCTTATAAAGTAGTTTCAGCATTTTACAGGTAAGGAAAATGAGACACTGAATGGTTTAGAGAATTCCTACCAATTTATATTTGGGGTATAAATGTAAAGGATGTGAGGAATGAAGTGGGTTATAAAAGCAGTATCTACCATAATTATAATCAAAGAGTAGGTTGGCTGAGAAAGTGAAATGTAAGAATTGTTTTACTTCATTCACTTTACAAGCAGTTTTTAGGAATTTGTTGTGTGTCAAATATAAGAATCGTTCTGAAAATAAAAATATAAACAAACCTGAAGCTCCTCCTTCAAGATACGTTGGAGTTATGATTAGCTATTACATAATTACTGGACAATAAACATAATATTGTAAAAATATGATATTGTGGAAACAATTATTTAAGATTTTGTGTTATAAAAATGGGCTTCTACAAATTTACAAAATAGAAACCCTGAGGAGACAGTACCCTGTTCTGCCTGACTGGGGTAGGGATGGAAGTGTACAGGGAGCTAGGTAGGGAAAGAGTAATGTTTAAAATCAAGATTAACAGTTAAAAGTTTTAATAGGATTTAAGATTGAAGTAGGAGTTTTCCAGGCAGAAAGAGAAGGCATAGAGCATAGGTATAAAAAGAGTATAATATGTCGGGGCATGGTCAGTCTTAGGGTTGAGAAGCAGTTCTAACTGGAGCACAGCATGGAAGGTGTCATCGGCTAAATGCCAAGTGGCATGACTGGCAGGGTAGCTTGTGTTTAGATTGGGAAAGGCCTTACGTGGTACAATTACATGAACTTATCACAGAGAGTGCCTGACCCCACTTGAGTTTTAGCAAGATAACTCTGTAGGCAGTGAGAAAATGTAATGGGAATGGTTAGAATCTGAAGTCAGGGAGACCAGCTCTGGTGTTTGAAAATGGACAGCCTGAAAGAACTAAAGCAGTGGCAGTGAAAAAGGAAGGAGAAATCAAAAGTCCAGAGACTTAGTAGGGATTGAATTGTCATGACGGGAGTTCAGTTGGATATAGTAAGTGAGGAAGAGTGAGAAGTCAATGGCAAATAGTACTGTTAACTAGTAAAGGCAATTTTAGTGTTAACTAAGAATTATTGAGTGTTTATAATGTGCAGGGTCTTTTCTAAACACTTTAAATATTTTAACTAACTGAGAAGGGTCTTGAGTTTTATGCTTAGATAACTGAATGGTCATTCTCATATACATAGAAAATGAAGAAGAAAGGGACATTTCTGAGGGCAGTGGGAGATCATGTGTTTGGTTTTGGAAATATTTGAGAAGCCCACATAGCATTTAGGTGCTGATGTCCACTGTACTGTTTGTAATACGAATCCCATGCTGAGGTGAGAGTCAGGGCTAGAGATAGAAATTTAGGACTCTTCTTGTTTGTGGATTAATGATTCTTGATAGATCAAGGAGAGAAGAGAGAAAAAAGGTCAGAAATCTTAAAACATAAACACTTAAGGGGAGAGAGAGGACAAAAAATAAAAATAAATGAACTGACATAGAAAGAAAATCAGGAGTAAAAAGGAAAGGAAGAAGAGACTTTAGAGAAAGATATTGGCCAGGCCGGGAGCAGTGGCTCACACCTGTAATCCCAGCACTCTGGGAGGCTGAGGCAGGCAGATCACGAGGTCAAAAGATCAAGACCATCCTGGCCAACATGGTGAAACCCCGTCTCTATTAAAATACAAAAATTAGCTGGGCTTGGTGGTACATGCCTGTAGTCCCAGCTATTCTGGAGGCTGAGGCAGAAGAATTCCTTGAACCTGGGAGACAGAGGTTTCAGTAAGCCAAGATTGCACCACTGCACTACAGCCTGGTGACAGAGCAAGACTCCGTCTCAAAAAAAAAAAAAAAAAAAAAAAGAAAAAGAAAAAGAAAAAGAAAGATATTGGACAGGCACAGTGGCTCACGCATGTAGTCTCAGCACTTTGGAAAGTTGAGGTGGGAGGATCCCTTCAGCCCAGGAGTTTGAGGCTGCAGAGAGCTATGATTGAGCCATTGCACTACAGTCTGGGCAATAGAACAACACCGTATCTCTAAAAATAAAAAAAAAAAAAAGGAGGGAAGATATTGCGGTAAAAATTGCCAAATTTTGTATACAATTAGAGTAGAATGTGAACTGAAATAAAACTAGAAATCAGAAATTTATTACTCTATTTTAAGAGTACACTTTCAGTTTCATGGTGGGTGAGATAAAATAAATGAGAAGAGTGGAAATGGAGGCCAAGTGACCATTGCTGTGAGGACCTTGGCACAGAGGAAGGAGTTGGAGCTGGAGGGTAAGAACGATGGTATTACTGCAGTTTTGAAAAACATAAAAGCTTTAATATATGGCTGAGCAAAAGGAGCCACTAAAGATGGAGAAAGCAAAGGGACAGAGAGTGACAGAAGGTCAGGAGAGTGGAGAGAACAATTATGGATGGAGTAGGGTCTGAGAAAGGTCACAGAGTGAGAGGCTCGGTTTATATAACAAAGCGTTATCTCATCGTGTTTATAACCACAGGGTTTGTGGTTTAATCCTCACTCTCCCACTATTCAACTGCATGAACCAAGTCATTACTTAGCCTCTGTTGGCCTCAGTGTCAAGTCTGCCAAATGGGGAGATAATAGTACTATCAATACCTCAGTGTTATTGAGAGGTTCAAGTGAAATAAAACTCGTGAAGAACAGATCACCTGACTGCTGGGTAAGTGCCCTGCAAGGACTGACTGTTATATTCAAGAGAGAAGTGCAAGGAGTCACTGTGGAAAGGAGTAGGATCACTAATTCTTATGATTAAAACAGAGAGCAAAGGGATAAAAAACGTTTATAAAGTCTACCTAACAATGAACCTATATTCTTCTTCTTCTTCTTCTTCTTTTTTTTTTTTTTTTGACGGAGTCTTGCTCTGTCTCCCAGGCTGGAGTACAATGGCGCGATCTCAGCTCATTGCAACCTCTGCCTCCCGTGTTTAAGTGATCCTCCTGCCTCAGCCTCCCGAGTAGCTGGGATTACAGGCGCCTGCCACTGCACTCAGCTAATTTTTGTTTTTTTTTTCAGTAGATACCGGGTTTCGCCATGTTGGCCAGGCTGGTCTCAAACTCCTGACCTCAGGTGATCCACCCACCTCGGCCTCCCAAAGTGCTGGGATTACAGGAGTGAGCCACCACACCCGGCCAATGAACCTATATTCTAAGTGTAGATGGAACTTGCTTTTATTATTTTTAAAATATTCTATGAAGGAATTTGTAAATGTTCTGCCTCTCCAAGGACTATTAACACTCAGTTGATTATTGCTAAAGGAAAATAAATATCTTTCTTTGTATTCTGAATCACACTGTTCGCAAATATTTATTTTCAAAGACTTTTAAATCTCTCTGTATAATAGTTCAAGTTACAGTCTTAAGAGAATTATGATTAACTCATAACTATATAGAGATGGGTAATACTAAAATTTCAGGTTTTTTACTTCTTCAACTCTTTTCAAAATGCAGCTGCTGTGACATACTCTGAAAGCAGCTTCTGTGCTTTGCATGCTTTTTGCTCTGCTGTATATTCTTGGCATTTTGGTAAGAAAAAAAAAACTTCTAGAGTTACCCTCTATTGCTAGGAAAAAAAATGGATTCCAGGATATTTTCTTCTATTGTTAGCAAATATTGCTTGTTTTTTCTTTTAGCCATTTTATCCTCACTGCCATACAGACTATGTTGAAGTCAAAGTTTAATTTTTTTCTCATGTATTGATTCTTCTTTTAGAGTATTTTATAAAAAAATTATACGTAATAGGCTCAAGCTTTGTGTTCAACCATCATAGTAAACATTGAAAATAGAATAATTCAGCAACAACACCTATTATTGTCGTAGTATATTATATATAGGATGAGTGGTCTGTGTTTCACAGTGATTTTTATAAATATTATCTTATGCAGTCTATACAAAAGCAGAACACATTATGGCTATATTTTTGGTTTGAAACCTGAGATGAAGAAAACAAAGTGATTTTCCACTAAGTCAGATTGCAAGATTAGAAATGCTAAATAACTAAAAGCTGCTTCGTCACATTATTTTAAAAAAAAATTAAGGTGTTTTTGAGAGGTGTTTTAAAGATTTACCTGTCCATGAAATTATTGGAGAAAAGGATAAACAGAAAAATTCCTTAGCTCTTCTCTTGGTTTCTTTCACAGCACCCTAAATAAACACCTGTGAAGCTGTTTATTTTTTAATATTCAATCTGCATGCAGAAGAATGACTCTGTAGTGGTGAAAGCAGTGATTCAATGATCTAGGAATTTCCTTCTGTTTATTCCCTTGAAGGTCAACAGGGGTGAGGAACAAATTAATTAGATTGCAAATCCATCCTGATTGGACACAATAAACCAAGCCAACTCTAATAATCTATGATAAGCCAAGTAGACATCCGGTAAAACTCATTAGCTATCAATAAAGATTGAATAGTCAGTGCCATGTTGCCACATAAATGTTGCCTACACTTTGTGTCTTCTCAAGTTATATCACACTCTTTTTTTTCTTTTCAATATACATTGAATTGACAGAGGAAATCATTCTCCCTGAATGACTCTTCTAAGACTGATACCTTGAAAAATATTTTTCCTGAGGAAAAAAAATTATGAGGCATATTGTGACTTTTGAGTATATAATAAGCCTCTTGCATGGTGCTTAGACAGCTCTCAAGAAAAAAATGTCTGAGAAGGGTGTCAAATTCTTTGTGCAAAAGGAACTTCCAGTTTAGGGACTACATGTCAAAAGGTTTTCAATAAAAATGAAATTCCCAGAATTGTGTGGCTACATCCTAAAATAGTAATCAGATTAACCATTAGAAAATAATTCCTTACATTCTATGGGTATATACCCAGTAATGGGTCAAATAGTATTTCTGCCTCTAGGTCTTCACTTTGAGGAACTGCCACACTGTTTTCCCCAATTTTTGAACTAATTTACACTCCCACCAACAGTGTCAAAGCATTCCTTTTTCTCCACAACCTCACCAGCATGCAAACTGATGCAGGAACAGAAAACCAAATACTGCATGTTCTCACTTATAAGTGGGAACTGAATGATGAGAACACATGGACACATGGTGGGGAACAACACACATTGGGGCCTGTTTGAAGGTGAGGAGTGGGAGGAGAGAAAGAATCAGGAAAAATAGCTAATGAATCCTGGGCTTAATACCTAGGTGATCGGATGATCTATGCAGCAAACCACCATGGCACACATTTAACTAACAAACGTACACATTCTGTACACATACCCCGAACTTAAAATAAAAGTTGGGAAAAAAGAAAATCACTCCTTACATGACAAATCGAGTCTCATAATTGAAAAATGAATAACCATAAGTAAACTCTGCTCTAGGAGACAAAATGTAGTTTAAGATTGATACACAATTCCAGTGATTTTTCAAGCATCCACTTCAGGACAAGATTAATAGAGACTGGGCTTACCATTATGCCTAAAACAACTAAAATAAAAAGCAAAATGAAAACCAAAGTAAGAAACCAAATAAAATGTATCAAACATCAATTCTTAAGACATTGAATATCAGCCAATGAAGGATACTGCTCTGAGAAATAAAAAAAAAAAAAATTAGTTGAGGCTCAAGTTTGCCTGATCTTACTGGCTAGAGATTCCCTAGGACATGGTGAAGAGACAACATATTAGGTAGGATCCTGAGGTATCTCTGAGTTGAAGAAATTCATTGTTGAAAGTCCTGGAAAGTGAAAGCAGCATGAGTTTATAGGGCAGAGTACTGGAAATGGAAAGACTGCATAGGCAGAGCACTCCAGAGATCTGAAGAGGATCCCTTTGAGTCTTTACCCGACAAAACTACCTGAGTTAAGGAAAGAACCATGCCTCATAATTCACAGGTCATTGAGTGGAGTCCTCATAACATTTTGTGTCCATATTGGGGAAAAATTAGACTGAAACTAAGCACTTCTGTGATCTGCTAAACAAAACTTAAAAGCAAGATGCAAAGAGATCAAACTGGTTTGCAAATAATTTTAATTGTATCTCAGAACTGAAATAATATTCATATTAATACTAAAATATCCAGAATCCCAAGATGATAAAAATGAAAAAATTCAAAAATTACAAATAATCTCTAAGCAAACATATCCTATAAGAACCAACACTGAAAGAAAAAAATGCCATCTAGGAATACTGTATCCAGCAAAGCTATTTTTCAAATATGAGTGAGAAATAAAGTTTTTCCTAGATAACAAAAGCTGAGAAAATATACCACTATTAGACCTGTCTTAAAAGCCAAAGGGAGTTCTTCAGACTGAAAGAAAAAAAAAAACGCTAATGTGCAAAAAGAAATAAAAAATACAGGTAGAAATCCACTGGTAAAATTAAGTACACAGACAAACCTAGAATACTCTAATATTGTAATTGTGATGAGCAATCCACTTGTAACTCTACTATGAAGATGAAAAAACTAATCTATCGAAAACAGTAATAATTACAGCAACCATTAAGAGATAGGCAATATAAAATATGTAAACTGAGAAAACAAAAAGCAACAAATTTAAAACAGATTTAAAATAAAAAGCAACAAATTAAAACACGCTACCAGAGAAAAACACTTAACCACAAAGGAAGACCGTAAAAAAAGGAAGAAAAGAAAAAAATGAGTTATAAAACAGCCAGAAAATAAGCAACAAAATAGCAATAATAAGCCTTTATTCATCAATAATAACACTGAATATAAGTGGAGATAATTCTCTAATAAAAATACACAGAGTGATTAACTGGATAGAAAACAAAGACAACTAAATACTATCTAGAAGAAACCTACCTTACTATAAACACACACACAGACTGAAAGTGAAGAGATAGAAGAAGCCATTCTGTGAAAGTGGAAACCAAAAATAGCAGAAATATCTATACTTACAACTGATAAAATAGACTACAAGTAAAATGCTGTAAAAAGAGACAAAGAAAGTCAGAATATAAAGATAAAGGGATCAATTCAGATAGAGGATATACTCGTATAGACATCTATGCACCCCACACAGGAGCATCCGTGTGTACAAAGTAAACATTAGTAAGTCTAATGTTAAGCAAAGACAGGCTTCAGTATAGTAAGAGTAGGGGACATCAACACCCTACTTTCAGTAGTGGACAAAAAAGTCAACAAATAATCATCTGAGTTAAACTACACACTAGACCCATAACATTTCACCCAACTGTATCAGAATATACATTCTTTTCATAAGTACATGGAACATTCTCCAGGATAGACCATGTATCAGGCCTCAAAACAAGACTCAAAACATTTAAGAGCATAAATCTGAACAAGTGTCTTTTCTGACCACAGTGGACTCAAACTAGAAATCAATAACAAGAGGAACTTCAGAAACTGCAGAAACACATAAAAAGTCAACAGTATGTTCCTAAATGATCAATGGGTCATAAAGAAATTAAAAAGGATATTATAAAAATTCTTGAACCACATGGAAATGGAGATGCAACATACAAAAATCTATGGGATACAACAAATGATAGAAGTTTATGGCCATAAATGACTTTATCAAAGAGGTGTGAAGACTTCAGATAAACAAGCTAATGATGGCTCTTAAGGAACTGACAAAGCAATAATAAACCAAAACCTAAATTAGTACATGGAAAGAAGTAATAAAAATTGGAGCAGAAAAATAGTGAAATTGAGACAAAAAGTAAAACAGGTCGATAAAACGAAAAGTTGGTTTTTGGAAAAGATAAACAAAATCAACAAACCTATAACTATACTAAGATTAAAAGAGTAGACCCAATTAAGTAAAATTAGAAATGAAAAAGGAGACATAACAACTAACTACAGAAATACAAAGAATCGTTAGAGACATATGAACAACTATACACCAATAAACTGGAAAACCTGGAAGATATGAATACATTTCTTGACACATATAACCTACCAAGATTGAACCATGAAGGAATAGGAAACCTCAATAAACCAATAATGAGTAACAAGATTGAAGTCATAATAAAAAGTCTCTCATCAAAGAAGAGCCTAGGACCTGATGTTCTACCGAACATTAAACACAGAACCAATTCTAGTCAAAGTCTTTAAACAAATTGAAGATGACGGAATACTTCTAAACTTATTTTATAAGGCCAGGATTACTGAGATACCAAAACCAGAAAAACACACCACAAAAAAAGAAAGCTACAGGTCAATATTACTGGTGAAAATAAATGCAAAATCCTCAATGAAATAATAGCAAACTGAATTCAACAGCATGTTAAAAAGATAATTCACCATGATATTCATGCCAGGTGAAATAAGTCAAGTGAGATTCATCCCAAGAATGCAAAATTGTCTAATATATGCAAGTCAATAAATGACATACATCATATTATCAAAACTTTCACTTTTTTTCAACACAATACTGAAAGTCCTGGCAAGACCAATTAGGCAAGAGAAAGAGATAAAGGGCATCCAAATTAGGACAAAAGAAGTCAAATTGGCTTTATGCGCAGATGACTTAATCTTATATTTGGAAAACATAAAGACTCTGCAAAATAGTCATTGGAATCAATAAACAAATTCAGTAAAGTCGCAGGATACAAAAACCAACATATAAAAACCAGCATACAAATGTAGCATTTCTATACGCCAACAAAAAGCAATCTGAAAAACAAATCAAGAAAGCAATCCCGTTTACAATATCTACAAAGAATATAAAATACCTAGGAAACAGTTTAACCAAAGAAATAGTAAAAGATCAATACAAGGAAACGTTTAAAACATTGATAAAAGAAATTGAAGAGGATATAAAACATTTAAAAAATATTCCAAGCTCATGGATTGGAAGACTGAATATTGCTAAAATTACAATACTACTCAAAGCAATTTACAGATTTAATGTAATCTCTATCAAAATACCAAGGATATTCTTCACAGAAATAGAAAAAACAGGCTGAGCACAGTGGCTCACACCTGTAATCCCAGCATTTGGGAGGCAGAGGTGGGAAGATTGCATGGGGCCAGGAGTTTGAGAGCAGCCTGGCCAACATGATAAAACCCTGACTCTACTAAAATTACAAAAATTAGCCAGGCATGGTGGTGCATGCTTGTAATCCCAGCTACACTGGGAGGCTGAGGCATGAGCATTGCTTGAACACAGGAGGCAGAGGTTGCAATGAGCCGAGATGGCACCACTGCACTCCAGCCTGAGTGACAGAGTGAGAGTCTGTCTCAAAAAGAAAACAAAGAAAAGGAATAGAAAAAACAATTATATGGAACCGCAAAAGACCCAGAATAGTCAAAGCAATCCTGAACAAAAAGAACAAAGCTGCAGGCATCATACTACCTAACTTTAAAATATACAAGACAGCTATAGTTAATCTGTATGGTACTGGCATAAAAACAGATACATAGACCAATGGAACAGAATAAGGAAACTGGATATAAATCCATACATTTATACCCAACTCAATGGTACCTAGAACATACAATAAGGAAAAGACAGTCTCTTCAAAAAATGGTGCTTCAAAAGCTGAATAACCATAAGCAGAAAAATGGAATTAGATCCCTATCTCTCACCACATAAAAAATCAAAATGTATTAAAAATCATATCTAAGTTTTAAATCTAAACCTGAAACTATGAAACTACTAAAAGAAAACGTTAGGGAAATGTTCTAGTATATTTTTCTGGACAAAGATATTTTGTGTAAAATCTCAAAAGCACAGGCAACAAAAGCAAAAATAAACAAATGGGATCACATCAAGCTAAAAAGCTTCTATACACCAAAGGAAAAAATCAACAAAGTGAAGAACCAACCCACAGAATAGGAGAAGATATTTACAGAGTAACCACCTGACAAGGGATGAATAACCAGAACACACAAGGAGCTCAGAAAACTCAATAGCAAACAAACAAACACCCAAAAAGACCCCACAAAATATCTTATTAAAAATGGGCAAAAAATCTAAAACATTTCTCAAAGAAGACATACAAATGACCAAGAGGTATATATAAAAAAAAGCTCAACATCACTGATCATAAAAAATGCAAATCAAAACCACAGTGATGTATTATCTCACCCCAGTTAGAATGCTTTTATGAAAAAGACTGGAAGTAACAGATGCTGACAAAGATGTTGAGGAAGGGGAAACCTGGTACACTGTTGGTGGGAATGTAAATTATTAGTACAGCCATTATGGAAAACAGCAGGGAGTTTCTTCAGAAACTTAAAAATAGAATTACCGTATGATCTAGCAATTCCACTAGTAGGTATATATTTAAAAGAAAGGAAATCAATCTATCAAAGAGATACCTGTAGTCACGTATTTTGAAGCACCATTCACAACAGCCAAAAAAAGGGAATCAACTTAAGTGTCCATCAATGGATGAATGGATAAAGCAAATCTGCAATATTTACACAATGGAATATTATTCAACTATAAAAGAGAATAAAATCCTGTCATTTGAAGTAACATGGATGAAACTGGGAGTTGTTACGCTAGGTGAAATAAGTCAAGCACAGAAAGACAAATATTGCCTGTTCTTACATATATGTGTGAGCTAAAGTGATAGATCTCCTCATGAAGAGAGAGAGAAGATTGGTGGTTACCAGAGGCTGAGAAGGGGAGGTGGAGGAGGGTTGATTAAAAAGACAAATATACAGTTAGATAAAAGATCTAAGACCTAATGTTCGATAGTTCACTAAGGTGACTATAGTTAACATTAATCTATTGTACATTCAAATTATCTAGAAAAGAATGATTCAAGTGTTCCTAGCATTAAAATATATGTATATGTTAAAGATCAAATTATAAAGATTTATAATTAGATTTACAAATTAATATACATTTTAAAGATTATAAAATATATTTAAAGATTATAAAGATGAAATTAGGGTAATTGGAATATACATAACCTCAAATATATATATATATAGATACACACACACACATATATGGCCATACAGCCTTAAACATATATATGTATACACACACAACCTTAAATATATATATAACAAATACATATTTATATATAAATATATATAACAAATTATTTATTTATACAAATATATTTAACAAATATATATATATTTAAGGTTCTGTCTCTCTATATACATTTAAATTTAAGGTTATATGTGTGTATGTATATGTACATATATACATTTAAGGTTATGTATATCCCAAACACCCTAATTTGATCTTTATACATTATATGAATGTATCAAATTATCACATGTACCCTGAAAACATGTGCATCTGTTATGTATAAATAAAAATAAGAAAAATATGTACGTGTACTATAAATCCTAAGCAATCACTAAATAATACTGAAAAGGTTATCGTTTATAAGCTAAAATTGAGATAAATTGGAATCATTAAACAAAATTAATTCAAGAGCAGTCAAAAAGAGGAAACCAGGAACAAAGAAAAGAATGGGACAAATAGAAAGCAAACAGCAACCGTATCAATATTCACATTACATAGAAATGGCCTAAAAATTTCAACTGAAAATAGGAGACTGTTAAGATTAAAAACCAAGACTCAACTATATGCTGTCTATAAGAAACCCACCTGAAATATAAATATCCAAATATGTTGTTGGTTTTTCTTTGTTCTAAAAAAAATTTTTTTAATAGGTTTTTGGGGAACAGGTGGTGTTTGGTTACCTGAATAAGTTCCTTAGCAGTGATTTCTGAGATTTTGGTGCACCCATCACCCAAGCAGTGTACACTGTACCCAGTGTGTAGTCTTTTATCCCTCACCACCCACCACCCTTTCCCCTGAGTCCTCAAAATCTGATGTATTAGTCTTATCCCTTTGCAGCCTCATAGCTTAGCTCCCACATATGAGTGAGAACATATGATGCTTGGTTTTTTATTGCTGAGTTACTTTACTTAAAAAATAGTCTCCAATTCCATCCAGGTTGCTGTGAATGTCATTATTTTGCTCCTTTTTATGGCTGAGTGTTATCCCCTGGGATATATGTATACCACAGTACCACATTTTCTTTATCTACTCGTTGATTGATGGGCATTTGGGCTGATCTAATATTTTTTTGCAATTGCAAATATGCAAATAGTGCTGCTATAAACATGTGCAAGTATCTTTTTCATATAATAACTTTTTTCCTCTGTGTAGATACCTAGAAGTGGAATTACTGGATCGAACAGCAGATCTACTTCTAGTTCTTTAAGGAATCTCCACACTGTTTGCCCTAGTGGTTGTACTAGTTTGCATTCCCACCGACAGTATAAAAGTGTTCCCCTTTCACTACATCCACAACAACATCTATTATTTTTTTGATTTTTTTCATTATGACCACTCTTGCAGGAGGCAGGTGGTATTGAGTTGTGGTTTTGATTTGCATTTCTCTGATGATTAGTGATATTGAGCATTTTTCCATATGCTTGTCGGCCATTTGTATATCTTTTTTAGAGAATTGTCTGTTCATGTCCTTAGCCCACTCTTAGATGGGATTGTTTCTTTTCTTGATGATTTGAGTTTTTTGTAGATTCTGGATATTAGTCTTTGTTGGATATATAGATTGTGAAGATTTTCTCCCACTCTGTGGGTTGTCGGTTTACTTTGCTGATTATTTCTTTTGCTGTGCAGAAGGTTTTTAGTCAATTAAGTCCCATCTGTTTATCTTTGTTTTTGTTGTATTTGCTTTTGAGTTCCCGGTCATGAAGTCTTTGTCTAAGTCAATGTCTACAAGGGTTTTTCCGATGTTATCTTCTAGAATCTTTCTGGTTTCAGATCTTGGATTTAAGTCTTTGATCTATCTTGAGTTGATTTTTGTATAAGGTGAAAGGTGAGGATCCAGTTTCATTCTTCTGCATGTGGCTTGCCAATTATCTCAGCACGATTTGTTGAATGGAGTGTCCTTTCCCCACTACATGCTTTTGTTTGCTTTGTTGAAGAGCAATTGGCTGTAAGTATTTGGCTTTATTTCTGGGTTATCTATTTTGTTCCATTAGTCTCTGTCCCTTTTTCATACAAGTACCATGCTGTTTTGATGACTATGGCCTTATAGTATAGTTTGAAGTCAGGTAATGTGATCCCTCCAGATTTGTTCTTTTTGCTTAGTCCTGCTTTGGTTATGTGGGCTCTTTTTTGGTTCCATATGAATTTTAGGGTTGTTTTTTCTAGTTCTGTGGAGAACGATGGTGGTATTTTGATGGAAATTACATTCAATCTATAGATTGCTTTTGGCAGTATGGTCATTTTCACAATATTGACTCTCCTCATCATGAGCATGGGATGTGTTTCAATTTGTGTGTGTCATCTATGTTTTCTTTCAGCAGTGTTTTGTTGTTGTTCTTTCACGTCCTTGTTTAGATATATTCCTATGTATTTTTACTTTTTTGCAGCTATTGTGAAAGGGGTTGAGTTCTTGATTTGATTCCTAGCTTGGTTGCTGTTGGTGTGTAGAAGAGCTACTGATTCGCGTACATTAATTTTGTATCCTGAAATTTGCTGAATTTATTTACCCTTTGTAGGAGCTTTTTGTACAAGTCTTTAGGATTTTCTAGGTATACAATCATATCATCAGCAAACAGCAAAGTTTCACTTCCTCTTTACCAATTTGGATGCCCTTTATTTCTTTCTCTTGTCTGATTGCTCTGGCTAGGACTGCCAGTACTATGTTGAATAGAAGTGGTTAAAATGGGCATCCTTATTATGTTTCAGTTCTTAGGGGAATGCTTTCAACTTTTCCCCGTTCAGTATAATGTTGGCTGTGGGTTTGTCATAGATGGCTTTTATTACCTTATTATATGTCCTATTTTGCTATGGCCAATTTTGCTGAGGGTTTTAATCATAAGTGGATGCTGGATTTTGTCAAACGCTTTTCTGTGACTATTGAGATGATCATGTGATTTTTGTTTTTAATTCTATTTATGTAGTGTATCACATTTGTTGACTTGCAGATGTTAATCCATTCCTGCATCCCTGGTATGAAACCCACTTGATCACAGTGGATTATCTTTTTGATATGCTGTTGGATTTGTCATAATTTTTTGAGGATTTTTGCATTGATTTTGCATTGATCAGTGATATTGGTCTGAAGTTTTCTTTTTTTGTTACATCCTTCACTGGTTTAGGTATTAGGGTGATACTGGCTTCATAAAACGATTTAGGTAGGATTCCCTCTTTCTCTATCTTTTGGAATAGTGTCATAGCATTGGTACCAATCCTTCTGTGAAGTCTGATACAATTCAGCTGTGAATCCATCTGGTCACATACAGTTTTTGTCAATTTTTAAATTATCATTTCAATCTCACTGCTTTTTATTGGTATATTCAGAGATTGTATATCTTCCTGGTTTAATCTAGGAGGGTTGTATATTTCCAGGAATTTATTCATCTTCTCTAGGTTTTCCAGTTTATGTGTTTAAAGGCACTCACAGTAGCCCTGAATAATCTTTTGTATTTCTGTGTATCAGTTGTAATATCTCCCATTTCATTTTTAATTCAGTTTATTTGAATCTTCTCTATTCTTTTCTTGGTTAATCTCACTAATAATCTATCAATTTTATTTATCCTTTCAAAGAACGAGATTTTGTTTCATTTATCTTTTTTGTTGTTGTTGTTTGTTTCAATTTCGTAGCTCTGCTCCAATCTTTGTTATTTCTTTTCTACTGTTGGGTTTGGGTTTGTATTGTTCTTGTTTCTCTAGTTCTGTGATGTGTGACCTTAGATTGTCTATTTGTGCTCTTTCAGACTTTTTGATGTAGGCATTTAATGCTATGAACTTTCCTTTTAGCATCACCTTTGCTGTATTCTAGAGGTTTTGATAGGTTGTGTCAGTATTATCATTCAGTTCAAATTTTTTTAAATTTTCATCTGGATTTTATTGTGGACCCAAGAATCATTCAGGAGCAGGTTATTTAATTTCCATGTATTTGCATGATTCTGAGGGTTTCTTCTGGAGTTGATTTCCAATTGTATTCGACTGTGGTCTCAGAGAATACTTAATATAATTTTAGTTTTCTTAAATTTACTGTGACTTGCTTTGTGGTCTATCATATGGTTTATCTTGGAGAATGTAGAATGTTCCATGTGCTGGTGAATAGCATGTATATTCTGCAATTGTTGGGTAGAATGTTCTGTAAATTTCTGTTAAGTCCATTTGTTGTAGGCTATAGTTTAAGTCCATTGTTCATTTGTTGAGTTTCTGTCTTGATGACCTGTCTAGTGCTGACGGTGGAGTATTAAAGTCCTCCACTATTATTGTGTTGCCATATATCTCATTTCCTAGGTCTAGTAGTAATTGCTTTATAAATTTGGGAGCTCCAGTGTTAGGTGCATATATATTTAGAATTGTGATATTTTCCTGTTGGACTATTTCTTATATCATTATATAATGTCCCTCTTTGTCTTTTTAAACTGCTTTTGCTTTAAAGTTTGTTTTGTCTGATATAAGAATAGCTACTCCTGCTCACTTTTGGTGTTCATTTGTGTGGAATATCTTTTTTCCACCACTTTACCTAAAGTTTATGTGAGTCCTTATGTGTTAGGTGAGTCTCCTTAAGACAGCAGAAACTTGTTTGCTGAATTCTTATCCATTCTGCCATTCTGTATCTTAAGTGGAACATTTAGGGCATTTACATTCAATGCTAGTATTGAGATGTGTGGTACTATTCTATTCATTGTGCTGTTTGTTGTCTGAATAACTTGGGTTTTTTTTCTACTGTGTTATTGTTATATAACTCTTGTGAGATTTACACTTTAAAGAGGTTCTATTTTGAGGATTTGTTTTAAGATTTCATGCTCCTTTTGGCAGTTCTTGTAGTGAGGGCTAGGTAGTGGGAAATTCTCTCAGCATTTGTTTACTGGGAAAAGACTGTATCTTTCCTTCATTTATGAAGTTTAGTTTCACTGGATACAAAATTTTTGGCTAATTATTGTTTTGCTCAAGGAGGCTAAAGATAGGACCCAGGTCCCTTCTAGCTCATAGAGTTTCTGCTGAGAAATCTGCTGTTAATCTGATAGGTTTTCCTTTATAGGTTACCTGATGCTTTTGCCTCATAGCTCTTAAGATTCTTCCTTTGTCTTGACTTTAGATAACCTGATGACTATGTGCCTAGGTGATGATCTTTTTGCAATGAATTTCCCAGGTGTTCTTTGAGCTTCTTGTATTTGGATGTCTAGATCTCTATCAAGGCTGGGAAAGTTTTCCTCAATTATACCCTCAAAGATGTTTTCCAAACTTTTATATTTCTCTTCTGAATAAACCAATTATTCTTAGGTTTGGATGTTTAACGTAGTCCCAAACTTCTTGAAGGCCTTGTTCATTTTTTTTAATTCATTTTTCCTTGTTTTTGTTGGATTGGGTTAATTCAAAAGGCTTGTCTTTGAGCTCTGAAGTTCTTTCTTCTACTTATTTGATTCTCTTGCTGAGACTTTCAAGTGCAGTTTGCATTTCTCTGTGTCTTTGATTTCCAGAAGTTGTGATTTCTTTTTGTTTATGCTGTCTACTTCACTGAAGAATGTTCCTTTCTTTTTTCCATTTTATTTATTTATTTGATAATTTATTAAGACCTTTATTAACAGGTGCTTGCAGTTTGCTGACTTTTTTGAAAAAAATCACCAATTTGTAAGCTTTTAGTACAAATTAAAAATGAAATTCTTAAAAATCTCACCAGTCCTTGCACCGCTCCCCATATTGCTGGGCTTGGTGTCGGTGAAGCTGAGTGGCAGGGGCGGGGGTGCGAGAATGGTGGGGGAGGGGTGGCAGGTGGGTGCTGGGTCTCTGCCCTGCTGATGGGTGCGGTGATGGTGACTGGGTCCTGCTGCAGCAGCTGTGGCTCCTCCCCGGGAGTGATGGTAACTAGACCAGCGGCAGAAGTGGGGCTGCTCAGGGCTCTCTGAGGTCCACTCTCCACTCCCACTACTGATCAAACTCTACTTATTTAATTATTTTTATCATACTTTAAGTTCTGGGATACACGTGCAGAATGCGCAGGTTTGTTGCATAGGTATACACTTGCCATGGTGGTTTGCTGCACCCATCAGTCCATCATCTACATTAGGTATTTCTCCTAATGCTATCCCTCCCCTAGCCCCTTACACCCCCAACAGGCTCTAGTGTGTGATGTTCCTCTCCCTGTGTCCGTGTGTTCTTGTTGTTCAGCTCCTACTTATGAGTGAGAACATGTGGTGTTTGGCTTTCTGTTCCTGTGTTAGTTTGCTGAGAATGACGGTTTCCAGTTTCATCCATGTCCCTGCAAAGGACATATTTTTTCACTCATTCTTTTTATAGCTGCATAGTATTCCATGATGTATATGTGTCACATTTTCTTTATCCATTCTATCATTGATGGACATTTGGGTTGGTTCCAAGTCTGCTATTGTGAATAATGCCACAATAAACATATGTGTGCATATGTCTTTATAGTAGAATGATTTATAATCCTTTGGGTATATACCCAGTAATGGGATTGCTGGGTCAAATGGTATTTCTTGTTCTAGATCCTGGAGGAATCACCACACTGTCTTCCACATTGGTTGAACTAATTTACACTCCTACCAGCAGTGTAAAAGCATTACTATTTCTCCACATCCTCTCCAGCATCTGTTGTTCCCTAACTTTTTAATGATCGCCATTCTAACTGGTGTGAGATGGTATCTCATTGTGGTTTTCATTTGCATTTCTCTAATGAACAGTGATGATGAGCTTTTTTTCATGTTTGTTGGCCGCATAAATGTCTTCTTTTGAGAAGTGCCTGTTCATATCCTTTGCCCACTTTTAGATGGGGTTGTTTTTCTCTTTTTTTTTTTATTATTATACTTTAAGTTCTAGCGTACATGTGCGCAACGTGCAGGTTTGTTATATATGTATACATGTGCCATGTTGGTGTGCTGCACCTATTAACTCGTCATTTACATTAGGTATATCTCCTAATGCTATCCCTCCCCACTCCCCCCACCCCACAACAGGCCCTGTGTGTGATGTCCCCCTACCTGTGTCCAAGTGTTCTCATTGTTCAATTTCCAGCTATGAGTGAGAACATGCGATGTTTGGCTTTTTGTCCTTGCGATAGTTTGCTGAGAATGATGGTTTCCAGCTTCATCCATGTCCCTATGAAGGACATGAACTCATCATTTTTTTATGGCTGCATAGTATTCCATGGTGTATATATGCCACATTTTCTCAATCTAGTCTATCACTGTTGGACGTTTGCGTTGGTTCCAGGTCTTTGCTATTGTGAATAGTGCCGCAATAAACATATGCATGCATGTGTCTTTATAGCAGCATGATTTATAATCCTTTGGGTATATAACCAGTAATGGAATGGCTGGGTCAAATGGTATTTCTAGTTCTAGATCCCTGAGGAATTGCCACACTTTCTTCCACAGTGGTTGAACCAATTTACAGTCCCACCAACAGTGTAAAAGTGTTCCTATTTCTCCACATCCTCTCCAGGACCTGTTGTTTCCCACGTTTTTAATGATTGCTATTCTAACTGGGATGAGATGGTATCTCATTTTGGTTTTGATTTGCATTTCTCTGATGGCCAGTGATGATGAGCATTTTTTTTTCTTTCTTTTTTTTTAATTTTTTTAAATTTTATTATTATTATACTTGAAGTTTTAGGGTACATGTGCACAATGTGCAGGTTAGTTACGTATGTATACATGTGCCATGCTGGTGTGCTGCACCCATTAACTCATCATTTAGCATTAGGTATATCTCCTAATGCTGTCCCTCCCCCCTCCCCCCACTCCACAACAGTCCCCAGAGTGTGATGTTCCCCTTCCTGTGTTCATGTGTTCTCATTGTTCAATTCCTACCTATGAGTGAGAACATGCGGTGTTTGGTTTTCTGTCCTTGCGATAGTTTACTGAGAATGATAATTTCCAATTTCATCCATGTCCCTACAAAGGACATGAACTCATCATTTTCTATGGCTGCATAGTATTCCATGGTGTATATGTGCCACATTTTCTTAATCCAGTCTATCATTGTTGGACATTTGGGTTGGTTCCAAGTCTTTGCCATCGTGAATAGTGCCGCAATAAACATACATGCATTTTTTCGTGTGTCTGTTGGCTGCATAAATGTCTTCTTTTGAGAAATGTCTGTTCATATCCTTTGCCCACTTGTTGATGGGTTGTTTTTTTTTTCTTGTAAATTTGTTTGAGTTCCTTGAAGATTCTGGATATTAGCCCTTTGTCAGATGAGTATATTGCAAAAATTTTCCCCCATTCTGTAGGTTGCCTGTTCACTCTGATGATAGTTTCTTTTGCTGTACAGAAGCTCTTTAGTTTAGTTAGCTCCCATTTGTCAATTTTGGCTTTTGTTGTCATTGCTTTTGGTGTTTTTGTCATGAAGTCTTCGCCCATGCCTATATCCTGAATGGTATTGCCTAGGTTTTCTTCTAGGGTTTTCATGGTTTTAGGTCTTATGTTTAGTCTTTATTCCATCTTGAGTTAATTTATGTATGAGGTGTAAGGAAGGGTTCCAGTTTCAGTCTTCTGCATATGGCTAGCCAGTTTTCCAAAAACCATTTATTAAATAGGGAATCCTTTCCCCATTGCTTGTTTTCGTCAGGCTGGTCAAAGATCAGATGGTTGTAGATATGTGGCATTATTTCTGAGGCCTCTGTTCTGTTCTGTTCCATTGGTCTATATATCTGTTTTGGTACCAATCCCATGCTGTTTTGGTTACTTTAGCCTTGTAGTATAGTTTGAAGTCAGGAAGCGTGATGCTTCCAGCCTTGTTCTTTTTGCTTAGGATTGTCTTGGCTATATGGGCTCTTTTTTGGTTCCATATGAAATTTTGAGTAGTTTTTTCTAATTCTATGAAATAAGTCAATGGTAGCTTGATGGGAATAACATTGAATCTATAAATTACTTTGGGCAGTATGGCCATGTTCACAATATTGGCCCTTCCTATCCATGAGCATGGAATGTTGTTCCATTTGTTTTTGTCCTCTCTTATTTCCTTGAGCAATGGTTTGTAGTTTTCTTTGAAGAGGTCCTTCACATCCCTTATAAGTTGGATTCCTAGGTATTTTATTCTCTTTGTAGCAATTGTGAATTGGAGTTCACTCGTGATATGGCTCTCTGTATGTCTATTATTGGTGTATAGGATTGTTTGTGAATTTTGCATGTTGATTTTGTATTTTGAGACTGCTGAAGTTGCTTATCAGCCTAAGGAGATTTTGGGCTGAGATGATGGGGTTTTCTAAATATACAATCAAGTTATCTGCAAATAGAGAAAATTTGACCTCCTCTCTTCCTATTTGAATACACTTTATTTCTTTTTCTGGCCTGATTGCCCTGGCCAGAACTTCCAGTACTATGTTGAATAGGAGTAGTGAGAGAGGTCATCCTTGTCTTGTGTTGGTTTTCAAAGGGAATGCTTCCAGCCTTTGCCCATTCAGTATGATATAGGCTGTGGGTTTGTCATAAAGAGCTCTTATTATTTTGAGTATGTTCCATCAATACCTAGTTTATTGAGAATTTTTAGCATGAAGAGCTGTTGAATTTTATCGAAGGCCTTTTCTGCATCTATTGAAATAATCATGTGGTTTTTGTCATTGGTTCTGTTTATGTAATGGGTTACGTTTACTGATTTGCATATGTTGAATCAGCCTTGCATCCCAGGGATGCAGCCAACTTGATCGTGGTGGATAAGATTTTTGATGTGCTGCTGGATTTGGTTTGCCAGTATTTTATTAAGGATTTTCGCATCGATGTTCATCAGGAATATTGGCCTGAAATTTTCTTTTTTTGTTGTTTCTCTGCTAGTTTTTGGTATCAGGATGATGCTGGCCTCATAAAATGAGTTAGGGCCGATTCCCTCTTTTTCTATTGATTGGAAGAGTTTCAGAAAGAATGGTACCAGCTCCTCTTTGTACCTCTGGTAGAATTTGGCTGTGAATCTGTCTCATCCCATGCTTTTTTTTTTTTTTTTTGGTTGGTAGGCTATTAATTATTGCCTCAATTTCAGAACTTGTTATTGGTCTATTCAGGGATTCGACTTCTTCCTGTTTTCATCTTGGGAGGGTGTATATGTCCAGGAATTTATCCATTTCTTCTAGATTTTCTAGTTTATTTGCATAGAGGTGTTTATAATATTATCTGATGGTAGTTTGTATTTCTTTGGGATCAGTGGTGATATGCCCTTTATCATTTTTTATTGTGTCTATTTCATTCTTCTCTCTTTTATTCTTTATTAGTCTGGCTACTGGTCTATTTTGTTGATCTTTTATAAAAACCAGCTCCTGGATTCATTGGTTTTTTGAAGGGTTTTTCGTGTCTCTAATCTCCTTCAGTTCTGCTCTGATCTTAGTGATTTCTTGTCTTCTGCTAGTTTTGAATTTGTTTGCTCTTGTCTCTCTAGTTCTTTTAATTATCATGTTAGGGTGTCAGTTTTAGATCTTTCCCGCTTTCTCCTGTGGGTATTTAGAGCTGTAAATTTCCCTCTAAACTATGTTTTAGCTTTGTCCCAGAGATTCTGCTATATTGTGTCTTTGTTCTCATTGGTTTCAAAGAACTTACTTATTTCTGCCTTAATTTCGTTAATTACCCAGTAGTCATTCAGGAGCATGTTGTTCAGTTTCCATGTAGTTGTGCGGTTTTGAGTGAGTTTCTTAATCTCGAGTTCTAATTTGATTGCACTGCGGTGTGAGAGACTGTTTGTTATGATTTCCATTCTTCTGCATTTGCTGAGGAATGTTTTACTTCCAATTATGTGGTCAATTTTAGAATAGGTGTGATGTGGTGCTCAGAAGAATGTATATTCTGTTGATTTGGGGTAGAGAGTTCTGTAGATGTCTACTAGGTCTGCTTGGTCCAGAGCTGAGTTCAAGTCCTGAATATGCTTGTTAATTTTCTGTCTCATTGATCTGTCTAAAATTGATAGTGGGCTGTTAAAGTCTCCCACTATTATTACATGGGGGTCTAAGTCTCTTTGTAGGTCTCTAAGAACTTTCTTGATGAATTTGGGTGCTCCAGTATGGGGTGTATATATATTTAGGATAGTTAGCTTTTCTTGTTGCTTGCATCGATCCATTATGTAATACCCTTCTTAGCCTTTGTTTGATCTTTGTTGGTTTAAAGTCTGTTTTATCAGAGACTAGAATTGCAACCCCTGTACTTTTTTTTTTTTTTTTTTTTGCTTTCCATTTGCTTGGTAAATATTCCTCCATCCCTTTATTTTGAGCCTATGTGTGTTTTGCACATGAGATGAGTCTCCTAAATACAGCCCACCGATGTGTTTGACTCTTAGCAAGACAGGCCAACATTCAAATTCAGGAAATACAGAGAATGCCACAAAGATGCTCTTTGAGAAGAGTAACCCCAAGACACATAACCATCAGATTCACCAAGGTTGAAATGAAGGAAAAAATGTTACGGGCAACCAGAGAGAAAGGCTGGGTTACCCACAAATGGAAGCCCATCAGACTACAGTGGATATCTCTGCAGAAACCCTACAAGCCAGAAAAGAGTGGGGGCCAATATTCAACATTCTTAAAGAAAAGAATTTTCAGCCCAGAATTTCATATCTAGCCAAACTAAGCTTCATAAGCAAAGGAAAAATAAAATCCTTTACAGAAAAACAAACGGTGAGAGATTTTGTCACCACCAGGCCTGCCTTACAAGAGCTCCTGAAGGAAGCACTAAATATGGAAAGGAAAAACCACTATCAGCCACTGTAAAAACATACCAACTGTAAAGACCATCGACACTATGAAGAAACTGCGTCAACTAATGGGCAAAATAACCAGGCAGCATCATAACGACAGGATCAAATTCACACTTAACAGTATTAACCTTAAATGTAAACAGGCTAAATGACCCAATTAAAAGACAAAGACTGGCAAGTTGGATGAATTACTTTCCTTTCATATCCTATATCATGTTTTTGATTTAAGTTTGATTTTGCCTTTCTCTGGTGCCTCTTTGATTACCTTAATAATTGACCTGAATTCTTTTTCTGGCAATTCAGAAATTTTGTCTTGCTTTGGATCTATTGCTGGTGAGCTGGCATGATCTTTTGGAGGTTTTGAAGAACTTTGTTTTGTCATGTTACCAGAATTGATTTTCTGGTTCCTTCTCTATGTCAGAGAGAAGATCTAAGATTCAAGTGCTGCCGTTCAGTCTTCTGTCCCACAGGGTGCTCCCTTGATGTAGTGTTCTCCCTCTTCCCCTAGGAATGGAGCTTCCTGTGAGCCAAACTATAGTGATACTTTTTGCTTTTCTTGGTCTAGCCACCCAGCGGAGCTACTGGGCTCCAGGCTGGTACTGGGGCATGTCTGCAAAGAGCCCTGTGATGTGATCCACCTTCAGGTCTTGCAGCTGTGGATACCAACGCCTGCTTTGGTGGAGGCAGCAGGGGAGTGAAGTGGAATCTGTGAGGGTCCTTGGTTGTGTTTTTGTTTAATGTGCTGGTTTTGTGTTGGTCGGCCTCCAGCCAGGAGGTGGTGCTCTCAAGAGCCCATTATCTGTGGTCCTGTGCGCAGGATGCAAACTTGCCCTAGGGACACCTGGTTCAGTATTCAGGTTCCTCAGGTGGTAGACAGGGCCATACAGCTCCCAAGGGATTATGACCTTTGTCTTCAGCTACCAGGGCTGGTAGATAAAGACCACAGGGTAGGGGCAGGGATAGGCATATCTGAATTCAGTCTCTCCTTGGGCGGGGCTTGCTTCATTCAGCTCATGTGGAGGACGGGGTGTGGTTCTCAGTCCAATGGAGTTATATTCCGAGGGTGATTATGGCTGCCTCTGCTTACTCATCCAGGTTGCCAGGGAAGTAGGGGAAAGCCAGCAGTCACAGGCCTCACCCTGCTCCCAGCAGCCTGCAGTCCTAAAGGCTGGTCTCACTCCCACCGTGACCCCACAGCAGCACCGAGTCTATTTCCAGGCAACCAGTGAGCAGGGCTGAGAATTGGCCCCAGACCAGGAACCTCCCCATTGAAAAAGCAAGCAGACTCACAGGTTTTCAGTGTCTCAGGGAGCCTGCAGCAATGATCCAATTCTTTCAAAGGGTGTGTGGATTCTCTTAGCTTTCCTGGTACATTCTTGCAGTAGTTCTTGGAGCAAAAGTTGAGGATGTGAGCCTCCACATCCTGCTCTGTTCCTCCAAGCGTGAGCTACAAGGCTAGTCCTGTCTCCTATCTGCCATCTTAATCTGCTATCCCCAAATATGTTAAAATTAAAGAAATAAAAAAAAATACAAACTATGCCAGCATTAAACAACAACAACAACAAAAAGCTGTGTGGGCTATCTTAATATTAGACAAAGTAGATTTCAGAGCAAACAATATTACCATGGGTTAAAAGGGTCAATTTATCAGAAGGATAAATGCTTATGTGCCTAAAAATTAAGAAAAATACATGGGTCAAAAATGATAGAATTGCAATGAGAAACAGACAATTCCACAATTACAGTTAGAGATTTCAAGATTCATGTCTCAATGACTGACAGGACAGAGAGAAAATCAGTAAGGATATAAAAGAGGTAAACGACAACATAATCCACTTGTCCTAATTGACATTTCTGGAACACCCCACTGTACAACAGCAGATTACACACTATTTTTAAGGGCACCCAAAGCGTTTACCAAGATAGACCATATTCTAAGCCACAAAGTAAGTCTCAACAAATCTAAAACATTTAAAATTATGCAGTGTATGTTCTTTGACCACAATACGATTAACTTCCAAATGAGTAACCATATATGTGGAAAATCCCCAAGTATTTGAAACTAAATAAGATATGCCTAAATAACCATGGATCAAACAAAATCGAAAGAGAAGTTTTTTAAAGCATGTTAAACTGATTGAAAAGACAAATTTGCGCCAATATTTGCCTCCAGAGACATGACTGTAATTATTTGCTTTGAAATGATCATGTTTACGTTTGCCTTTCCATTTATTTAGTTGTTCTGCATCAATCTTTCAGGTGTTGCATCCTCTGTCTGGCCACACTACTAATACTGCTGGCAACAGTAGAAGGTTTGTGGAGTACTGAGGGACTGTGAAAAATAAAAAGGATTTAGCCATGACATGAGTCATGAACTCACTAAACCTATATTAATAGACATTTTGTTCATAAAATGATGGATTTTTGGAGCTTCTGTTTAAAAAGTCTCTCAATGCCATTTCCAGATATGATATGTGGCTCATTTTAAATTCTTATCACAGCAGTTGAGCTACTTAGACTTATTTTAATTATGGAGAATGATTTGTATTGGTGATTATGTTCTACAGATTATATATATATACACATACATATATATATCTCAATTTGACCTTTTAATTTTCCATTCATTCATATTAGATACTAAAGAATGATAATATTTTGTGACTGACACCTGGGCATTGTCACATCTGTTTTTATTCTCAGCAATAAAAATACATCATTTATGTGTAAACTATATCCATATATTCTCAAATTTTATCTGTGATTTACATGATTAACTTATTTAATGAGGCAGAAAGAAGGTCTCTTGAATGGTGCTTAGTCGCAAACAATATGTGACTGGATAGATAGCAACTGTGCCTCCATCTCCCTGACTTCCTGTTATTATCCACCAGCAGGAATAAATTAAAAACTTAATTCCATTGTTACATAAATGTGTACACATTTTTACAGTGTGTCACCACCTATAACAAACTTGATGCATAGATGTCTGGATTAGCTTTACTTAATTGGCTACAATAATATTTAAGTAAGGTTTATTAAAATCATAAAGTTGCATACTTGTAAAAATCGTAAATTACAATATCATTAAGATAAACACAAAAATATTCAATTATGTTTTATTTTAACAAAATGAAGAAGTAGATGCCAAACTGAAAAGGAACTAGTAAGTTTTGGAAGATCTACCATCCACTGTTACAGTACTTATCATACCACATTTTAAATATCTATTTTATTTTCTTTAAAAAAATTTGTATTAATGAGTAGTGAATGTACATCATGGTAATTGAATACAGTCATATAATGTATAAAGGTCATATTAGTGTAACTTGGGATATCCATCACTTTTTTAAAATTATACTTTAACTTGTAGGATACATGTGCAGAACGTGCAGGTGTGTTACATAGGTATACACACACCTTGGTGGTTTGCTGCACCCATCAACCCGTCATCTACATTAGGTATTTCTCCTAATGCTATCCCTCCCCTAGCCCAAGGGATATCCATTACTTTAAATATTTGTCTTTTCTTTTTTTTTTTTTCTTTTATTATTATACTTTAAGTTTTAGGGTACATGTGCACATTGTGCAGGTTAGTAACATACGTATACATGGGCCATGCTGGTGTGCTGCACCCACTAACTCGTCATCTAGCATTAGGTATATCTCCCAATGCTATCCCTCCCCACCAACCCCCACCCCACAACAGAACCCAGTGTGATATTCCCCTTCCTGTGTCCATGTGATCTCATTGTTCAATTCCCACCCATGAGTGAGAATATGTGGTGTTTGGTTTTTTGTTCTTGGGATAGTTTACTGAGAATGATGGTTTCCAATTTCATCCATGTCCCTACAAAGGACATGAACTCATCGTTTTTTATGGCTGCATAGTATTCCATGGTGTATATGTGCCACATTTTCTTAATCCAGTCTATCATTGTTGGACATTTGGGTTGGTTCCAAGTCTTTGCTATTGTGAATAATGCCGCAATAAACATACGTGTGCATGTGTCTTTATAGCAGCATGATTTATAGTCCTTTGGGTATATACCCAGTAATGGGATGGCTGGGTCAAATGGTATTTCTAGTTCTAGATCCCTGAGGAATCGCCACACTGACTTCCACAATGGTTGAACTAGTTTACAGTCCCACCAACAGTGTAAAAGTGTTCCTATTTCTCCACATCCTCTCCAGCACCTGTTGTTTCCTGACTTTTTAATGATCACCATTCTAACTGGTGTGAGATGGTATCTCATTGTGGTTTTGATTTGCATTTCTCTGATGGCCAGTGATGGTGAGCATTTTTTCCTGTGTGTTTTGGCTGCATAAATGTCTTCTTTTGAGAAGTGTCTGTTCACGTCCTTCGCCCACTTTTTGATGGGGTTGTTTGTTTTTTTCTTGTAAATGTGTTTGAGTTCATTGTAGATTCTGGATATTAGCCCTTTGTCAGATGAGTAGGTTGCGAAAATTTTCTCCCATTCTGTAGGTTGCCTGTTCACTCTGATGGTAGTTTCTTTTGCTGTGCAGAAGCTCTTTACTTTAATTAGATCCCATTTGTCAATTTTGCCTTTTGTTGCCATTGCTTTTGGTGTTTTAGACATGAAGTCCTTGCCCATGCCTATGTCCTGAATGGTAATGCCTAGGTTTTCTTCTAGGGTTTTTATGGTTTTAGGTCTAACATGTAAGTCTTTAATCCATCTTGAATTGATTTTTGTATAAGGTGTAAGGAAGGGATCCAGTTTCAGCTTTCTACATATGGCTAGCCAGTTTTCCCAGCACCATTTATTAAATAGGGAATCCTTTCCCCATTGCTTGTTTTTCTCAGGTTTGTCAAAGATCAGATAGTTGTAGATATGCGGCATTATTTCTGAGGGCTCTGTTCTGTTCCATTGATCTATATCTCTGTTTTGGTACCAGTACCATGCTGTTTTGGTTACTGTAGCCTTGTAGTATAGTTTGAAGTCAGGTAGTGTGATGCCTCCAGCTTTGTTCTTTTGGCTTAGGATTGACTTGGTGATGCGGGCTCTTTTTTGGTTCCATATGAACTTTAAAGTAGTTTTTTCCAATTCTGTGAAGAAAGGCATTGGTAGCTTGATGGGGATGGCATTGAATCTGTAAATTACCTTGGGCAGTATGGCCATTTTCACGATATTGATTCTTCCTATCCATCAGCATGGAATGTTCTTCCATTTGTTTGTATCCTCTTTTATTTCCTTGAGCAGCGGTTTCTAGTTCTCCTTGAAGAGGTCCTTCACCTCCCTTGTAAGCTGGATTCCTAGGTATTTTATTCTCTTTGAAGCAATTGTGAATGGGAGTTCACTCATGATTTGGCTCTCTGTTTGTCTGTTGTTGGTGTATAGGAATGCTTGTGATTTTTGCACATTGATTTTGTATCCTGAGACTTTGCTGAAGTTGCTTATCAGCTTAAGGAGATTTCGGGCTGAGACAATGGGGTTTTCTAGATATACAATCATGTCGTCTGCAAACAGGGACAATTTGACTTCCTCTTTTCCTAATTGAATACCCTTTATTTCCTTCTCCTGCCTAATTGCCCTGGCCAGAACTTCCAACACTATGTTGAATAGGAGTGGTGAGAGAGGGCATCCCTGTCTTGTGCCAGTTTTCAAAGGGAATGCTTCCAGTTTTTGCCCATTCAGTATGATATTGGCTGTGGGTTTGTCATGGATAGCTCTTATTATTTTGAAATATATGTCCCATCAATACTTAATTTATTGAGAGTTTTTAGCATGAAAGGTTGTTGAATTTTGTCAAAGGCCTTTTCTGCATCTATTGAGATAATCATGTGGTTTTTGTCTTTGGCTCTGTTTATATGCTGGATTAGATTTATTGATTTGCGTATATTGAACCAGGCTTGCATCCCAGGGATGAAGCCCACTTGATCATGGTGGATAAGCTTTTTGATGTGCTGCTGGATTCGGTTTGCCAGTATTTTATTGAGGATTTTTGCATCAATGTTCATCAAGGATGCCTTCATTTCGTTATGTACCCAGTAGTCATTCAGGAGTAGGTTGTTCAGTTTCCATGTAGTTGAGAAGTTTTGAGTGAGATTCTTAATCCTGAGTTCTAGTTGGATTGCACTGTGGTCTGAGAGATAGTTTGTTATAATTTCTGTTCTTTTACATTTGCTGAGGAGAGCTTTACTTCCAAGTATGTGGTCAGTTTTGGAATAGGTGTGGTGTAGTGCTGAAAAAAATGTATATTCTGTTGATTTGGGGTGGAGAGTTCTGTAGATGTCTATTAGGTCCGCTTGGTGCAGAGCTGAGTTCAATTCCTGGGTATCCTTGTTGACTTTCTGTCTCATTGATCTGTCTAATGTTGACAGTGGGGTGTTAAAGTCTCCAATTATTAATGTGTGGGAGTCTAAGTCTCTTTTTAGGTCACTCAGGACTTGCTTTATGAATCTGGGTGCTCCTGTATTGGGTGCATATATATTTAGGATAGTTAGCTCTTCTTGTTGAATTGATCCCTTTACCATTATGTAATGGCCTTCTTTGTCTCTTTTGATCTTTGTTGGTTTAAAGTCTGTTTTATCAGAGACTAGGATTGCAACCCCTGCCTTTTTTTGTTTTCCATTTGCTTGGTAGATCTTCCTCCATCCTTTTATTTTGAGCCTATGTGTGTCTCTGCATGTGAGATGGGTTTCCTGAATACAGCACACTGATGGGTCTTGACTCTTTATCTAATTTGCCAGTCTGTGTCTTTTAATTGGAGCATTTAGTCCATTTACATTTAAAGTTAATAGTGTTATGTGTGAATTTGATCCTGTTGTTATGATGCTAGCTGGTTATTTTGCTCGTTAGTTGATGCAGTTTCTTCCTAGTCTCGATGGTCTTTACATTTTGACATGATTTTGCAGTGTCTGGTACCGGTTGTTCCTTTCCATGTTTAATGCTTCCTTCAGGAGCTCTTTTAGGGCAGGCCTGGTGGTGACAAAATCTCTCAGCATTTGCTTGTCTGTAAAGGATTTTATTTCTCCTTCACTTATGAAACTTAGTTTGCCTGGATATGAAATTCTGGATTGAAAATTCTTTTCTTTAAGAATGTTGAATATTGGCCCCCACTCTCTTCTGGCTTGTAGGGTTTCTGCCAAGAGATCCACTGTTAGTCTGATGGGCTTCCCTTTGAGGGTAACCCGACCTTTCTCTCTGGCTGCCCTTAACATTTTTTCCTTCATTTCAACTTTGGTGAATCTGACAATTATGTGTCTTGGAGTTGCTCTTCTTGAGGATTATCTTTGTGGCGTTCTCTGTATTTCCTGAATCTGAATGTTGGCCTGCCTTGCTAGATTGGGGAAATTCTCCTGGATAATATCCTGCAGAGTGTTTTCCAACTTGGTTCCATTCTCCCCATCACTTTCAGGTACACCAATCAGACGCAGATTTGGTCTTTTCACATAGTCCCATATTTCTTGGAGGCTTTGCTCATTTCTTTTTATTCTTTTTTCTCTAAACTTTCCTTCTCGCTTCATTTCATTCATTTCATCTTCCATTACTGATACCCTTTCTTCCAGTTGATCACATCGGCTCCTGAGGCTTCTGCATTCTTCACGTAGTTCTCGAGCCTTGGTTTTCAGCTCCATCAGCTCCTTTAAGCACTTCTCTGTATTGGTTATTCTAGTTATACATTCTTCTAAATTTTTTTCAAAGTTTTCAACTTCTTTGCCTTTGGTTTGAATGTCCTCCCGTAGCTCAGAGTAATTTGATCGTCTGAAGCCTTCTTCTCTCAGCTCGTCAAAGTCATTCTCCGTCCAGCTTTGTTCCATTGCTGGTGAGGAGCTGCGTTCCTTTGGAGGAGGAGAGGCGCTCTGATTTTTAGAGTTTCCAGTTTTTCTGTTCGGTTTTTTCCCCATCTTTGTGGTTTTATCTATTTTGGCCTTTGATGATGGTGATGTACAGAAGGGTTTTTGGTGTGGATGTCCTTTCTGTTTGTTAGTTTTCCTTCTAAGAGAGAGGACCCTCAGATGCAGGTCTGTTGGAGTACCCTGCAGTGTGAGGTGTCAGTGTGCCCCTGCTGGAGGGTGCCTCCCAGTTAGGCTTCTCGGGGGTCAGGGGTCAGGGACCCACTTGAGGAGGCAGTCTGCCCATTGTCAGATCTCCAGCTGCCTACTGGGAGAACCACTGCTCTCTTCAAAGCTGTCAGACAGGGACATTTAAGTCTGCAGAGGTTACTGCTGTCTTTTTGTTTGTCTGTGCCCTGCCCCCAGAGGTGGAGCCTACACAGGCAGGCAGGCCTCCTTGAGCTGTGGTGGGCTCCACCCAGTTCAAGCTTCCCGGCTGCTTTGTTTACCTAAGCAAGCCTGGGCAATGGTGGGCGCCCCTCCCCCAGCCTCGCTGCCGCCTTGCAGTTTGATCTCAGACTGCTGTGCTAGCAATCAGTGAGACTCCATGGGGTAGGACCCTCCGAGCCAGGTGCGGGATATAATCTCATGGTGCGCCGTTTTTTAAGCCCAACGGAAAAGTGCAGTATTAGGGTGGGAGTGACCCGATTTTCCAGGTGCCGTCCATCACCCCTTTCTTTGATTAGGAAAGGGAACTCCCTGACCCCTTGCGCTTCCCGAGTGAGGCAATGCCTCGCCCTGCTTTGGCTCGCGCACGGTGCACGCACCCACTGACCTGTGCCCACTGTCTGGCACTCCCTAGTGAGATGAACCCGGTACCTCAGATGGAAATGCAGAAATCACCTGTCTTCTGCGTCGCTCAGGCTGGGAGCTGTAGACCGGAGCTGTTCCTATTCGGCCATCTTGGCTCCTCCCCCTAGATATTTGTCTTTTCTATATGCTAATAACATTTAAATTATTTTCTTCTAGCTATTTTGAAATGTATTATAGATCACTGTAAACTATAGTCACCCTGCTAATATATCAAACACCACGTCTTATTTCTTTTATCAAACTGTATGTTTGGACCATTAACCACCTTCCCTTCATGCTACCCTTTCCAGCCTCTGGTGATCACCAATCTTCATGAGATCCACTCATTTAGCTCCCATATATGAATGAGAGCTCTGGCAGGCAAAACTGACCTTGCTAAGTTTTATACCTTCGATACGAAGTGCAGTTTCAGATGTTGAGTAAGTTGTAAGCAAATACATGTTTGTTAAGTTTGATGAATACTTGAATTGGTGAATAAACTAATAACTACATATGTATAGTTACATATGCTTACATAATAAACTAATACTGTATGCATTATGTAGTAAACTAATACTATGTATGTAATATTTACATGTACTATTATAAATAGAATATATAATTTTATATACTGTTATAGTACTGGAATAAATCAAGTCAATAGGTTTGGAAATGTCAATAGATTGCTTTTACAATTTAAGCTTATTCATTAATCTCTTTCTATAAAAATTTTGGTCAATATCTACATGGATAGAAAATGTTTATTTTTTCAATAATTTGTGGTTCTTTTGAGAATTATGTAAGCTTTCAAATTTATGTTTGCATTGTTCATGTTGTATAAATGACAATTACTCTAGAACTCTTGATTTCTTTATGTTTTGAGCATATTTAACTTATAAACTAAAGACTTCACAAAATTTACTTCTTTTCTGTTTGTTTTTTTTTGGTCGTTTTTGGACTTTTATTTTAGATTTAGGGGTGCATCTGCAAATTTGTTCTATAGGTAAACTGCATGTCATGGGGGTTTCGTGTATATATTATTTCATCATCCATGTAATGAGCATAGTACCCAATAAGGTATTTTTTCTCTTCCTCTCCCTCCTCCTAGCCTTCACCCGCAAGTAGGCCCCAGACTCTTTTGTTCCCCTCTTTGTGTCCATGTGTTCTCATTTATTAGTTCCCATAAGTGAGAACATGCAGTATTTGGTTTTTTGTTCCTTTGTTTGTTTGCCTGGGATAATGACCTCCAGTTTCACCCATGTCACTGCAAAGGACATGATTTCATTGTTTTTTTTTTTTTTTTATAGCTACATAGTATATGTATGTGTACCACATTTTCTTTATCTAGTCTACTGTTGATGGGAATCTAGGTTGAGCTCATGTCTTTGCTATTGTGAATAGTGCTGCAATGAACATACAGATGTATGTTCCTTTATGATAAAACAATATGTAGTCCTTTGAGTATATACCCAGTAATGAGAATGCTGGGTCAAATGATAATTTCATTTTAAGTTCTTTGAGGAATCACCACACTGCTTTCCACAATGGCTGAACTAATTTACACTCCCATCAGCAGTATATAAGCATTCCCTTTCCTCTGTAATATCACCAGCATCTGTTAATTTTTGACTTTTTAATAGTCATCATTATGACTAGCATGAGATGGTATCTCATTGTCGTATTGATTTGCATTTCTGTAATGATTAGTGATATTGAGTATTTTTTAATATTCCTGTTGGCCACATGAATGTCTTCTTTTGGTAAGTGTCTGTTCATGTTCTTTGCTCACTTATTAGTGGGGTTATTTTTTTCTTGTACATTTGTTTAAGTTTCTTAGGAATTCTAGATATTAAACCTTTGTTGGATGCATAGTTTGTAAATATTTTCTCCCATTGTATAGGTTGTTTGTTTATTGATAGTTTATTTTGCCGAGCAGTAGCTCTTTAGTTCAATTAGATGCCATTTATCAATTTTTGTTTTTGCTGCAATTGCTTTTGGACTCTGTCATAAAATCTTTGCCAGGTCCTATGTCCAGAATAGTATTTCCTAGGTTATCTTTCAGAAGTTTTATAGTTTTAGGTTTTACATTTAAGTTTTAATTTATTTTGAATTGATTGTTATATATGGTATGAGGAAGCGGTCATTTTCAAACCACTCCGTATGGCTAATCAGTTATCTCAGCCCTATTTATTGAATATGGTGTCCCTTCCCCATTGCTTATTTTTGTCAGCTTTTTCTAAGATCTGATGGTTGTAGGTGATCTGTTTTGTTGCATTGGTCTCTGTGTCTGTTTTTGTTTGTTTGTTTTTACCAGTACCGTGCTGTTTTGATTACTATACCATTGTAGTATAGTTTGAAGTCAGGTGACATGATGCCTCCAGCTCTGTTCCTTTTGCTTAGGATTGCCTTGGCTATTTGGGCTTTTTTGGTTCCATATGAATTTTAAAATAGTTTTGTCTAATTCTGTGAGGAATGTCATTGTTAGTTTGGTAGGAATAGCATTGAATCCATAAATTGCTTTGGGCAGTATAGCCATTTTAATTACATTGATTTTTTCTTATCCATGAGCATAGAATGTTTTTCCATTTGTCTGTGTCATCTCTGATTTCTTTGAGCAGTGTTTTGTAATTCTTGTTGTAGAGGTCTTTCGCCTCCCTGGTTAGCTGTATTCCTAGATGATTTATTCTTTTGGTGGTGATTGTGAATAGGATTGCATTCTTGACTTGGCTCTCAGCTTGGATGTTGCTAGTGTTTGGAATTGCACCTGACTTTTGTACATTTAAAAAATTTTTTGAAGTTGTTTATCAGAGCAAAGAGCTTGGGAGCAGAGACCATGAGGTTTCCTAGCTATAGAATCATGTCTGCAAACAGGGGTAGACTGACTTCCTCTCTTCCTATTTGGATACCTTTTATTTCTTTCTCTTGCCTGATTGCTCTGTCGGGGACTTTCAGTGCTATGTTGAATAGTAGTGATGAGAGAGGTTTTTGTTGTCTCGTGGTTCTCAAGCGGAATGCTTCCAGCTTTTGCCCATTCAGAATGATGTTGGCTGTGGGTTTGTCATAGATGGCTTTTATTATTTTGAAGTATGTTCCTTCAATTCCTAGTTTATTGAGGGCTCTTAACATGAAGAGATATTGAATTTTATCAAGGCTTATCTGCATCTATTAAGATAATCATCTGATTTTGTTTATTCTCTTTATGTAAAATTCACATCTCAATGGATATTAACTTTTCTTTAAAATAAATCAAGGTGTCAAAATCTAACTGCTGTTTATTAAGTGATAATGGTTAGCACTGAAAATTTAAAAAGTTGATTTTAACTATGAAAGAGTCATAACATTTTTATTGAAATGACAATACAAAGAATGTTAATTTAGCTCTATAGAGAGTGTTACAGGTAGAGTAAAACAAGTTAATGGTTCTCAAAGTTTATTTGATAGGTTCTACATTTTCTTGCTCACAAATGTTGTAGATACTTTTAGATGTCACAGAACCAAGATCTGATATACGTATTGTTTTCAGCTCTGAAATAGTGGATAGTAGAGAAAGCTGCCATACCTTAATCAATTTTTTCTTGTATAATCACAATGATTTCACTCGTTAGGAATTACTAATAAGCCTGAACTAAGTTTGGCAGAAATTTAGATATTTTCAAGCATATGGATTTTAGAGATTTTTTTAGTGCCTTAAGGAACGTTCAACATATGGGTAGGAAATTAAATTATTTTGTCTCAGCATTAAAATTGCTTAAATACCCACCAAAGATACTGTTTTATAGCGCTATTGTATGTTTAAGAACTATTATAGTAGTATATTTTATAACCATGATAGCAACAAACAGAAATGAAGAGCTACTTATAGAGCAAGTGATAAACACAGATCAAATGGGTTTTATGAGCAATGGAGTGGGTTATTACCATCCAAGGCTATTTACAATAATGACAAAAGGAACCAATGTAAAAGATGCAAATTTATTCCTAAATACAGGTACAGAAAAATCTTCTGAATGAATTAACTAGATTTGTTTTTCATTTCCACATTACAGAACACAGTTCTTTTGGAAGTATTTATTTGCTGGAGTTATTGACTCCCGGAAAAGAAAAAATATCAGTGGTAAGAATTTTCCTTTCTAGAAACTATGTCCCCCCAATTTTTTATGCGTGTTTGTTTCTTTTTATGGCAATCCTAGGTGTTCAAAAAGCACTAACTTAAAGTTTAATGAATTAGATTTTAAAATTTACAAAAAAGCACATATATAGGAATTATTAAAAACAAGATAAAAATCTAATTAAAATGAGGGCCCAATACTAGATTGGTTCTTGTGTAGAAAAGATGGAGAAAAAAAACCCCATAAATGTAGAGACCATGAAATATACCAGATTAAATATAATTGAGCTGGAAATTTGATTCTGAGTTTAGGGATGGTCATGAGGAAAAAGGAGACTGATAAATTAAAAAAAAACTAATTGGTTGAATTAACATAACAATGGGTTTATACACATGCATGTGTACATAGCATTTCCTCAGGGAAAAGTGGAATGAATTAGCAGGAAGTATAATATATAGTTCTAAAGGGTGATCCTTTTGATGATTCTTTTTTTCTGGCACTAATAAAGTTTTGTTTTATTTTGCTTTGCTTTTCCCCACATCAAGTTGATAGGAGACACAGCCAAAAAACAAGATGCAGCATCTTCTGGGGTGGTAGAAAACTATACAGAGGAGGTTCTAGGAGCAAACTTGGAGTTTAAGTGTCAAGGGAAGCTTTGTGGAGGGTGGAGCACCTGTGTTTAGTATTAAGAACAAACAAAGATGACAGACAAGGGTGTCTCAAGATGGCAGGGCATACAAAGTAGAGGAATTAGCACCGACAAAGGCCTCAAGATAAGAAAGGACAGGAGGTGAGCAAGGAAAGAGAACATTTTTAATGCAGCTGCAGAGCACAATGTGAGGAGAAAGGTACTCGGGGCCAATCTTCAAGGGTGTTGTAAGAACTTGATTTTATACAACAGGCAAAAGGAAACCTCAGTTGGAATTTAACCAAGGAAGTGAATAATTCGACATGGCAAAAGAAATCCCATTTTAGTCTTAAAATGAGGAATGGATTTGAGATTAATGCAATTCAGAAAAACTCAGTGGGACTCTTGGAAGTAATCCGGGAGAGAGATAATGGCAGGGGCTGTATTGATGAAACCTCTCTCTTTGCCTATATGTTACTTCTCAAAACTACAGATCTCTCTCTTGGCATTGCTCTCTCCACTCATTCACTCACTCATTCAGTCAACTAATATTTACTTTGCTCCTTTTATGTGCCAAATACTATTCTAAATCCTGAAGATACAGCAAAACAAAGGATAAGGAAAACAGTCTCTGCTCTCATGGGGGTTAAATTCTTACACTACAACTGCACCACACCTTATAAAAAAGTGCTTCAAGCATTGGGTATTCCAGGACAATTTGCATTTTACAGAACCCAAAGGAATACATGATATTGAGATGGAGAGATTATCTTGGGTCATCTAAGTGTGTTCAGTCAAATCATATGAACCCTGAAAAGTGGAGAACTTTTCCCAGCTCTGGTTAGAAAGAGATATGAGACAATGGAAGAAAGGTCCAAAAAATGGCATCTTAAGGAGTATTCCTGCTGCTAGTTCTGAGATACAGGGGCAGCGCTAACCTGCTGGTGTCCTTCCCATGCAGTTTTCCTCTGTGCGTTTTCTGTTCTGCTCCTTCTCCTCCAGACCTAGATGTGGAAATGACTCCTTGGTCTTCCTTATGCCAGGGAGCTGTGCTATACCTTGTCTGTATAAGATGTCTCTTTATTCTGCCCAAATTACTCAGTTAGAGTAAGCTGTTTATTTTTGATCAAGATACTGATTAATCAAATGAATTCAGATAAGAAACACAAGGACAGAGAGAAGACTTCTGTCCAGTCCTCTCTCTCAGGTCATTCCAGAGGCCTAAGTATATTGCTGCCCACTATGACTGTATCCTTATAATAAATATTCCCTTTTGATCAGCTCCTTTTAAAAAATTATTACTTGCAACTAAATGCATACTGCCTAATATAGCAATAATTCTTTTAAATCTAGGGATTAATATGTCATTGATCTAAGAGTTTGAAGCAATATGTCAAAAAGTCCTATGAAGAATCAGGAAATGGAGTTGGTAGGCTTCAGAGAAATAAAACATCAATAATGCCCACCAATTTATTTTGGAAGTCCGAGGTCCTTTAACATACTTATTCATTTTTTTGATCTAACAACATAAACATTAGGATAGCAGTTATATGACTAATAAGTATTTATTAGAAAATAAGCTGAAAATACCATGTCACATTTTTTTGCTGTTAAGTACTTATGTGCAAATAAGTGTAAGAAGATGATTGCTTATCAATAGTGTATAAATTCAGAGTGAGAAATCATGGTGATGCCAATCAACTACAGACTGTCCACATGGTTTGTGGAGACAGTGGAACCTTTGCTTTCCAAAATTTTGTTTCATGCACAAAATTATTTAAAATATTGCATAAAGTTACCCTCAAACTATGTGTATTAAGTGTATAGGAAACATATGTGAATTTCATCTTTAGATGACGGTCCTATTCCTAAGATATCTCATTAGGTACATACAAATATTCTAAGATCTAAAAAATTTTAAATCCTAAACACTTCTGGTCCTAAGGGTTTTGCATAAAGGACACTCAGCCAGTATATCACTTTCCCTTATCTCTTCAGACTTCCTTCTTCATATAAACAGAAGCCTTCTTTTCAATAACACTCATCCCTATTTCTAGATTTTATCATTTATGCAGCTAAAGCTGTTTTCACAATGACTTCTTTGATTCACCGTTTCAGCAAATCTTGTTTTTTTGTAAAATTATATGAATTTGGCTATTTTGATTATTATAATATTACACTTTTTTAAGGTAATGTTTCCTTGAAAGGCATTCCATGTATGAATTTTTTTCTTTTTTTTTTTCTTTTTTTTTGAGACGGAGTCTCGCTCTGTACTCAAGTTGGAGTGCAGTGGCACAGTCTCGGCTTACTGCAACCTCCGCCTCCTGGGTTCAAGCAATCCTTCTGCCTCAGACTCCCAAGTAGCTGGGACTACAGGTGCATGCCACCATGATCAGCTAATTTTTTTTTTTTTTTTCAGTAGAGACGGGGTTTCACCATGTTGACCAGGATGGTCTCTATCTTTTGACCTCGTGATCCACCCACCTCGACCTCCTAAAGTCCTGGAATTACAGGCGTGCATCTATGACTTTTATTCAAGACAGTTGGTATCTTATTGTGACATTTAAGTTTCTTATAAGTGATTTAATAGTTAGATTGATTGGGGGAAGAAAAGAGGCCCTTTTTATATTGGAATAACACAAATTAATGTCCCATCACTTTTCCTAACATAATCTAGTGAGGCATACTTTACCCAATGACCCCCTCAGAAAATTTGTTAACTAAGACATATGACAACAAATCTTTTTTTTTTTTTTTTTTTTGAGATGGAGTCTTGCTCTGTCGCCAGGCTAGAACGCAGTGGCACGATCTCGGCTCATTGCAACCTCCGCCTCCCGGGTTCAAGCAATTCTCCTGCCTCAGACTCCCGAGTAGCTGGGAGTACAGCTGTGCGCCACCACGCCCAGCTAATTTTTTGTATTTTTATAGAGACGGAGTTTCACTGTGTTAGCCAGGATGGTCTCAATCTCCTGACTTCGTGATCTGCCCACCTCGGCCTCCCAAAGTGCTGGGATTACAGGCGTGAGCCACCACACCCAGCAAATCAAAATATTTTTAAAGTAATGTGAATCTGGAAAGTTTTAGCTTGTTCTATGGATCTGCCCAATGGATAATGTACATTAAAAACTGTGTATTCAAAATGCTAAAATTACAGATGTAAGGTGTTAATATTGCCTAAACTATAAAGCCAGTAAAAAAGAAATGCCTGATGTGTTTTAAATTAAAAAAAATTAAAACTTGTCTTCAGTATGTGTTTCATATAATTTTATATTCTAGTAACAAGTCAAAAAAGAAGAAAAACATTAAAAAGTAAATGTCTGGGTTAGTATTTGCATGTGTGTGTTTTTCAATCATCTTTTAAATAGACATACTCTCCATGCTCTTGGTAATTTGTCATGTCATTATTATATCTATATGCTACAGTCTATAGTAGAGAAAGTAGAACGTGATTTACAGGTAGAGAGATCAAAGAATATTTCAGAAGTGAGGTGATATGATTTAACTGAAGAGTGACAGATGATTACACCTCGCCTCAAGCCACCTGTGATATTAAAAATAAATTAAATCCCTCAGAAGAAAAGCAAAGCCATTCAGTTTCCACACCCATCCGTAAGCTTGATGTTTATTACTTTTGGACTAGCAGCTTAGAGAAACATCCTTGCATAGATTGAATCTTTCAAAGCTTGAATGAAAAGTCCTTCATGAGGGGGGCCAGAGCAATCTTCTCAAATATGCTGAATCCTAGAATTCCTAGTCTTTCCACAGTCCCTATCTTGAGTGCATGACTTTCATTATTTATACAAAAGTGAAAACTGTCTTTATCTGGTTATACCTGCCGATCTTGCAAATTTATGGGTAATTTTTATTCTAAAAATGTATATGAGAAATAGTACTTTATCAAGTACATGAAAAGGAGAGATTACTTAATTGATCGATGCAGTTTATGTTGAACTTGCACATACATTAGACTTTGTCCAGACCTAATGTGTTTACTAAAAGACGAGTAAAACAAGAACACTGATGATGTTTCCAAACTTGCTGGTTCCCCCCACTCTAAAACCGGGCACAATTTCCACAACCAATTTTAGAAAAGTGCAGAAAATTACATGAAGACTATTGAGAAAAAATATATAATTTTTTATACTCTTGCAAAGTTTAAGGCTCACTAAAGAGGTAGATAAACTGGTTATTTGCATATGTTGATTACTCTAAAGAGGTTATGCAGTTCTCAATATTTTTTGTAGAATTCCTTTAAGCAGGGGTTCTAAACTGTTTAGAAGCCTGTTAGAAATAAGATACAGCACTCATTTTTTTTTCTGAGAAAGGAACAATAACGGCATTCAACAGGTTCAATTCAACCAAAATGTAATAGATCAACTACTGTTCTAGGAATGGGGGAAAGAGACTTAATCAAGACATAGATGTCTCACTCACAAAGAGGTCACAAAATACAGGCAAAGCAACCATATTGGTTATGCATTGCCACAACAAGTATAATGAACACATTGCAGGTGAGCATTTGGTCCAGGATGGCCACGGCTGAGATGACAAGGGCTACATGGCTGTGCTCCACGTGTCCTTCATCCTCCAGCAGGCTCCTCTGGGCAGGTTCTCCTGGCAATGGCAAAAGGCAAGAGCAAAGAAGCCTCAATATACAAGCTCATTTCAAGCCCCTGCTTACTTCACGTTTGCTAACATCCCACTGGCTAAAGTGAGTCACATGGTCAAGCTCAGCGTCAAAACGGCCAGACACCGTGAAGGAACATTGTAGAATACAGGGAGTGCTTGAGAATTGGGTGCATTTTTTCCTTTTGTCTCACACAAAAATTCTATGCAGAAATAAATGCAGTATGGCAAGTGCAATATTAGAATTGATAAGGCAGAAAATAGAGGTAATTTCATCTAAATAACCACTGTGTAGTTGGAAGAGTCTTTCTGGAGCAGGTAATCTCAGAAGAACTGAGATTTCAAGATAAAGCTGCATTTTTCAGGCTCCCAGGGGAGATAAGAGCATTTCACATAGTGTGACCCTGCGAAAAGAAAATACCTGAAAAGAATATAATGAGTAAGTAGAACTCTAGGACAGCACATGACAGTATGTCAAGTATAGGTGTCAGGGACAAGGTCTAGAGAATGGCAGTTGAGACTCTGAGGGACAGGAAATTGGGAACCACATCCTGGAGGGCCTGCAGTCATGGTGGGTAATTCCCATTAGGGTAGGTGGGAGGAGGAAGAGTGAGAGGTCCAGAGGGGGATGCTTGCATAAAGGGAAGAATGGATGAGCACAGGCAATCAAAGAAATACCCAATATAAGTTCTACAGCTTCACAATGTTTTGGAGATTCACTCCTGATGACGATCATTTTAAATAAAATTTATCTATCTACCTACCTATCATCTATGTATCTGATCTAATTCTAGGTAAATTTCTCATGTAATTTGAGATTTACCATGCTACTCTACATAGTAATTGCATTTACCCCACATCTTCTGCCCAGAGTTTCAATGCGCATGAAAAGTACATTAAATATAAAAGCTCTTTTCTATTTTATACATATATGCTAATCACCAGATTGTGCAGAGCCAAGACAAAAACTTAATATGGTGAATTAACATCAGAAAAAAACCAAGCCCAGAATACATACAGAATTGGGTTTTCTAGCTTGGTTTATTGAAAACGAAGTCACTGTTTGAAAATAAAGTTGATGTCAGTTCCGTGAAGAATAAACATAATGGAAAGAAGGCAAGAAGGGAGTGAAGGTACAGTGTAGGATTAGGGAGCATTACTCGAGAAAATGGAGATGACGGAAAGGCTATTCAAGGAGGAAATAGTGAGGCTGGTGATTCAGCACTCATTGACATAGTTGCAGTCAATTTGGACTTCAATTATAATAGTGCATTACAATTGCTTCTCAAAATCTATTCAAACATGTAGACTCGTGTGCACACATCTATGTGTATAAAAACACACACACATACATGCACATGGGCACATAGTCGTACAACCTATGAGTAAAATAAAGGGCACAGAAAATGAAGTATTTGCAAGCATATGCACGCTCTGTAAATTTTATGCATAGGGTAAAATTGGGTTTTATGTAAAAAGCATTGGATGCTTCTGTTAAAAAATAAATTCATATATATATATATATATATATATATACACACACACACACACATAATAAGAATCCATCCATTATCTACATTGAATTTACAACCTAAATATAAAAGGACAGGATAGTTTTCAGTTTATTAATTTTATCTAAACTTGGTTCTATAAGGTTTTGTAAATAGGTGTGTATGTGTCAGATTTTGAGGTGGAAAAATCTTAACCCTAGATGACTAATTTATTCATTCATCTGTGTGGAAAAAAAAAAAAGTATTATTCACCCTGTGCCAAGTACCAAGTACCTCCCAGATATGCAATGACAAGTAAGTCACAGCCCCACTTTTAGGAAGTCACAGTGGATTAAAGATAACAGACGCAACTAAATACTAAACTGCATTTTGACAAATGGAATACTAGGAGTAGGTTCTGGGAACTGTAGGGAGAAAGCAGTGAGTGAGTGATCATTTTTGTAGTTGTTCTTGTTATTGACTCTGAGATTTCAAAGAGTGACAGCTGATTCTAAGAAGTGACAGACAAACAAGGGAGAAAAGTCACTCCAAGGAAGGAGAAATAACTTGGGCACAAAAACATACACATTAAAGGGTATGACATATTAAGACAACTACCGCTAGCTGAGTGCAGTTGGAATAGTGACCATGAGGAAAATCAATAAAGGAGAGGGAAAGGAGTCACATGCCCCTTCCATATGTGGAATAGTTGAGAAAGAACAACAGGTTTATGGAAGCGTATGCATATGTGAATACCATTGACTGTCTACAAGTCATTCACAGGCTAACTTCCTGTAACTATTGATTATACCACATTCTTCTGATGTCATCGATTTTAAAACTCTTTAGTTATGTTTGCTTTTTCTCTTTTTGACTATTTTCTCCAGTAAAGGAATTTAGTAACTGAACCCTGTTTATTCTCCTTTAAATGTCTTGTGATTCAGCTCTCTAGAACAGGATCTTAAACCTGCTATTTATTTTCAGGAGTTTCTTAGTCAACTTGGGTGCAAAAATCTCAGCTGTGTGGGGAGTGGAGAGGGCAGTCTTAATTATGGTTCTTTGGTTGCAAACAACAGAAACTAATTTCAGTTAACATAACCCCAAAAAGGACTGATTGGAAGTAATAAACCAGACTAAGTGTTAAACACCAGACTGGCATAAAGCAGGACTTGGATTGGATCCTGAAGCTGTAGCAGCAGCAATCTGTGGAAGTTCTCTGTTGGAGGCTGACAATCATGAATTTTAGGCTCAACAGCTTCCCACTAGGGAGCTCTGAATGGGGAGCTGGGGTGGCTAACCTGTGAACTAGAGGGATGTCTAACATTTTATTAACTGTAAGTAAGAAACACCAGCCGAAACAGTAACTAGGTATGCAGAAGAATGCATTTTCATTTTGGGCACTGATATTAGTCCTGTTAGGACCCAGAAGATCTTTCCTTTGTGACACTTCTTTACTTCTTCAACCTATGAGTAAAATAAAGGGCACAGAAAATGAATTATTTGCAAGCATATGCATGCTCTGTAAATTTTTTGCATACGGTAAAATTGGGCTTTATGTAAAAAGGAATGGATGCTTCCATAATATTTCTATGAGGCATGAGTTAGTTTTCTGGACAATGAAGTTGAATTCATGACTGTGGTCCTTGGCCAGGTTTTCATTTCACATAGGTGTTGGGTGGTCTGTTCTTGTAAACCTCACAGCCCATTCCTTATTTCTGCTACAGCTAAGTATCTTTCCATCTGTGGACTTGCCTGGACATGAGCATATGTGGATATCAGCATTTAGTGTTTTTAATAGTCACCATTCACAACCTCCATACAATCCCTCTCTGCCACTTTTTCTGTTTTCTTTCCACACTCATCTCCAAAAAGCTCTCAAAATGGTTCTGTCCTCTAACTGATGTATCCTTTTTATTTTACCTTGTATTTGCATTATTTATTCTAGTCCCAAATACTTTGTTTATATTTATCAAGATTTGAATGCCTCATCCATAACAAATTATCTCTCTTTCTTCTTCTAATGCTTGCTAATAACATCTTCCAAAGTTTGTAGCCACGGAGTAAAGTAGAATTAATATGTTGTTGGCAGTAAAATAGAAATCTATTGTATCATGTTGTGGGAGAAATTTCTAGTCTTTATCCATATCTGATTATTTACTTCTGTAGCTATTTAAGAGAATTACCCTTTTGTGTCTTTTTCATTTTTTCTTTTCACTTAGGTAAAAACCTGTGAACAATTCTGGTTAAGGGCTTTTCAGAGAAAGTAACTTTGTTCCTTTTTAGGCCAATGCCTTACACTACTGGTGTGGATCCTCCTGAACACTCTACCTTTCTCTTGATGATCACGGAGTCTGAACTAGTGAGCCAAAAACTGAGATGACAGCTGCCCTGGACAGTTGGCTAGGGCTGTAACTGTTGCTTTAAGACACTGGTGTTTTCCTGTTGATATTTTACTCCAGCATAACCAAGCCTACATGTACTCATAAAAATATAAAACATGTTCTAAAAAGTTTCCAAATAATATTAATTTATATAATTATGGTTTGGTCTTATTTTCTGTTATGTAGTTATAGAGACATTATTTAATTTTTTTATTTAAGAAATATGTTCTTCAATGTACAAAAACCTTATTTTGTAGCACATGCAACAGAAGTGTCATTTGTTGTTTGCTATTTATAAATGTTAAGTGCCAGTAAAAGCCTATTAAAATCTTGTGAGAATAGCTGAGAGTTTGTCCCTGACCCTGAGCAAGAGAGACAGCAATGAAATACCAGCAGAAGGACTATCAGCGACAGCAAGTTCAATGCATTATTGAAGTCTGGGCTGGGGTCAAAGAAAATAAAGAAGGAGTAGAAACTATCTTCAGGAGAAAACAAGATGTTAACTTCAAAGGGTGTCTGTGCTATCACCATAAAGACACCACGATAGAAAGCTGTCAAGGTTCCTTCACAGAGAAATGCCAGAGAGGAAAGAGAAAAATAAATACTTGAATGGAGAAAGGGATATTAATAGAAAAAGGTTATCACATTAACTGTTGGGGTATAAAAATAATTAAATGTAGAATAATAAAGAAATCGCAGAAAATCCAAGACCAAAATCAAAACTCTTGATAAATATAACATGGAAAAAAAGGAATCTGGAGAATCACAAACAAATTGTAGGTAATGAAGGCAGTAAAATAAATAGATAGATGGCTGAAAAGAGATAGATAGATAGATTAGATAGATAATAGATAGATAGATAGATTATAGGCACATATATTTAAGTGACTTTTTTCACACATTTCAATTTGGATTTTAATAGAATGCCATCATAGAAGACTTAGGATCTCCTTGTTTCTAATCTCTTTATATGATTGTGTTGGAAACTTACATTATTAATATGTTCAAATTATGACCACATGTTTATACATGTGTTAGCTTTCTAAAGAAAGTAGCTGTTTCTTTATATAAGACTGTAGTTTATTTAAATCGTGCAAAACCATTAATTAGCTTTGGCATAAGAAGTATTAATAATTAATGCAAGATTATTCAGCTATTCACCTTGACAGCAACTAATTCAAAGAAAGAGAGAAAAGTACAGTTTACAAGGAAACAAATATCAGGAAAACACATCACTAATGTAATAAAAGATATATGGCAAGTTAAGGAAACTGAATCTTTCATTCTACCACTGGATCCATTATATTTTAGTACTAGGAATGAATAGACTAATAAACTCTGCTCTTACATTTCCCAAGGAAACCAAGCTCCAATGTTTATAGGGATAACAAGAGCACTTTAAAAAGCATTTAACATCAGGTCTGTAGGACCAGTATGGAAGAAAAGATCAATTGCATATAGACGTCTGTCTTATTTTAAACTTCTGTATCAATGGGAAATGTTACCTTAAATCTTAATTGTGATTATGATTTAGATAACGAACCACCTTCAAAGTAATCTCCCCAGTCCAGTTTCTTCTATGTTCTTTCTCAGTTATCTTTGTTCTGACCCAGTTTCTAAAATAGATTCTCTATACCTCTGTTAGAATGATCTCACATGAGCCAGATCCAGTAACCCATTTGCTCAAAATTCGTCATTGTGTTGCAATTGTATTAACACAGGATATCAAGACCTTTACAACTTGCTGCAACAATCTTTCCAGACATATATGCTGCCACTAACCCCAGACTTAAGCAACGATCACTTCTTGGTACCTCTGTTCCCCTTTTCCCTCTTTTTGGAGCACCGTTCACTTCCTCTGTGGACATCCTACTATTCATCCACGCAGGTCCAGGTCTTATGTGATCTTCTGTATAAAATTTTCTCCAGTGGAGAATGAAGTTACGGGAAGTAAATAAATTCATAAAATATAAGAGAACCTTGCATAGACCCCTGATGACAATGTCCTATGAACTGAGAAGTGTTATTAACCACTCAAACAACAATAGCTCAAAGAAGAAAAATAAAGGCAGGGAAAAAAATAAGGAAAACAACATTTAAAGCAGCCCTGACCTCACCCCTCAGTCCTTCCAGTTAGAATAACCCTTCTGTCTAATATACACTTGATTTCCATCATCACAGTCTGTTTCACAACATAATGTAGTTTATGATATATGGTTGTTTGTACCACTCTATAGTAATTTTAGATAAAAATACTGTTTGGTGTTTTCATTGTATTTCCCCCATACCTTTTTTTTTTAATTGCAGATGGTAAATAAATATCTTTGCATTCGAATTCACCATCAATGCAGAATGAGGTTTACTTGCCATTGAAAATAAGCAAGGCTGAAATTGCTACAGTGATTTCACCCGTTTAGCAATTATTACAAATTCTATAGATTTATTCAGTGTAAACAAAATACAAGAAACAATGTATAAACTCTATAATTTAACGATTAAGAGGTCATATGTGCTCGTTTCACAAGAAGTGTCATAATAGCGGTAGAAGAAAAAGCTAGATTGAAGCTGATGGATATAAAGCATAGATCATATTGATGATAAATTGTTGACGAACGATAGATGAGAAAAAGGGCTACAAAAAGAGAAAAATGACTATATCCTGGGGAAAGGACCTAAGGAGAGATTGTTTTTAAAAGCAGTGTTTGGAGTATGATTGTTTGCTTAGAAGATGGATCAATTAGCAGTAGATGAGAAAAAAAATGATAATTTATGGGGTAAGGTCCTGAAGAGTCTGGGAGCAAGGAAGCAGAAGGAAGAGTCTTGGCTTTTTGCCATCTCCTCCTTCTCACATATGTGGTCAGCTTATTTATCCTTTTAGTAAAGTGACAGAGATCATATTATTTACAAAATGATCATTTGATACCACATAGGTGTGGACCTTCGGTACTGAATAAGAAGTAGGTAGGACCCTATGTTGGCATTTGGAACGATTGCTTCAGTGAACAAGGGCAATAATAAAAGCAACAAACTTCTCCGGAACTCTTGGGTACATAAAATTTGGTGAATACTACTTTTTGAGTACTGCGCCAGACATTCAATTATGGGAGATGCACATGAAGATGAACAAGACTCAGTCTCCGGCGGCCGGGCGCGGTGGCTCACGCCTGTAATCCCAGCACTTTGGGAGGCCGAGGCGGGCGGATCACGAGGTCAGGAGATCGAGACCATCCTGGCTAACAAGGAGAAACCCCCGTCTCTACTAAAAATACAAAAAATTAGCCGGGCGTGGTGGCAGGTGCCTGTAGTCCCAGCTACTCGGGAGACTGAGGCAGGAGAATGGTGTGAACCCGGGAGGCGGAGCTTGCAGTGAGCCGAGATCGAGCCACTGCCCTCCAGCCTGGGCGACAGAGCGAGACTCCATCTCAAAATAAAAAAAAAAAAGACAGTCTCCACACTCAAGGAGTATAGTCTTGTACTAGTAGTGAGAAATAAAACCTCAATAAGATCCAAGATATTTCTGACACTTTTCACGTGAGCGAAATGAATAGCCATTCCTACTAATTTTAGCTTTAAGAAAGTGCTTAAGAACTCCAATTTCCATTCGAAAGTAAGAGTAACCTCAGAGCCTCAGAGAAGTGCCAGTCCTTCACAGTTTATATGCATTAGGATGGGTGACATTCTGAGTAAATGAATTGACTATATAGCCAGAAATAAAAGTGATAAAAGAAGCAAGGAAGGAAAGAGAAGAAAGGAGATGACATGAGAGGAGACAAGAAGAGAGGATAGAAAAATCAAGGGGTGAAATTATATGAAGTTATAGTTTAGAAAAAAATCCCTCAAAAGTGGAAAATTTATCTCAAGCCTAAGGTCCAAGAGGAGAGTTACTTATTTAAAAATGTGATGAAATTTAGGTTCAGCAGAAGGTTGGGTAACGCAATACATGGTGGATACAGGAGAAAGTGCTATGGCATAGACTGAACAAAGTTGAAGATGCAGAGTAGAGATATGGTTGGAAAAAAGTTTTGGTATATAACTTTTCTAGCCACTTTACTGATGTGTAATTTATATGCCTTAAAAATCACTGATATAAGTGTATAGTTCAATGAGATTTTCAATAGATTTCTTTTCAAAACTCTAATGGAATGGCAATGAGAAAACCTATCCTAGGCCGGGTGCAGTGGTTCACGCCTGTAATCCCAGCACTTTGGGAGGCCGAGGTGGGAGGATCACTTGAGGTCAGGAGTTCGAGACAAGCCTGGCCAACATAGTGAAACCACATCTTTACTAAAAATAATAATAAAAAAAAATTAGCCAGTCATGGTGGTGTGTGCCTGTAATCCCCAGCTACTTGGGAGGCTGAGGCAGGAGAATCGATTGAACCTGGGAGGTGGAGGTTGCAGTGAGCCAAGATTGCGCCACTGCACTCCAGCCTAGGCGACAGAGTGAGACTCCATCCTGAGAAAAGAACAAACAAAAAAACCTGTCCTACAACAATTAATTTGTAAAATTCATTGTTAGCCTTTTGCAGATACTCAAAATGCTTGGATTCTCATTGCCTTTTGCTATTTAATTATGCTATTTATTTGTATTGTTTCCCTTTTTGTTATTAAATGATGAGTTTGGTAATTTCCTTTTTTAAATGAATTCATGTTCATTAAATAAATGGACCTTCAGATTTGATTGGTAGTGGCAGTTAAAATCATGATCACCCTCTTGAAGCAATTTGCAAAGATTCTTACACTCCCTACATAGTTATATCCAGAAGGGGCATATGGAATAACACCTCAGGGAAGCAGGTGTAAATGATATTGCTGAGAATGGTGGAAAGAACATTAATGCAATGACCTCCTCCTTCAAAGTTTGCTAAGCTTTCTTTAAGTTTTTTTGTTAATTAAGATATGCTCAAAACCCAGCTGTAGTTGAAAAGGAAACCTGCACTTAGAAATAATGACCATTTCAGTTTCAGTTTTTCTCACATCTGTATGCTTTTAGAAGTTTGTGGGATAGGTTTACTAGTCTCTAAATAAAAGGAAGGCAAAAAAATAAATATGGCAATTATTAGAAGTAAATTTTACCATTTGATTATTTTAACTTCCAAAAAGACATGTTCACTTTTAATCAAAATTATTTCCTTTGCTTTTGTGGTTTCATTATTTCAAACGTTGTTACACATATTATGTGCAAACATTTCAATGATACACTATTTAACCATATAAATTGACTGCCGCATCACAAAGTATATCTTTAGTTAATCTGAGATTGAGAATCAAGATATTCCACTTACTTGTGCATTCTAAAAACTCATAAGTGTTTGTGTTTATTTTTAAAATGAAATGTAAACACCTATATTTTAATTATGCTCGTATAATGATTAAATTTGAAAATTACCAAATACAGATGCATTTTATGGAAGGATAAAGCTGTAGACATTACACACACGCAACAGGTAAACAGATAAATGATTGATAGATAGATGGACAGGGAACAGTCAATCTTTTACTATGTTTCATCATTTTATTTGTGCTTATTACAGTTTGAGGACTCAACCCCAATGTGACTGCGTCCAGCCTTTCTATTCTCACAAACAGTGCAAAGAACTTGTTCATTGCCCATGGTCTCAGCCCTGAGCCATTTTCCTTGGCTCATTTGTGGACACTGATTCACCATCAGTTTTATTCATGCAATAGACATTTACCACTTGCTTACTACATGCCAGGCATTTTGCTCAACGTAGGGTGCACACTTCAAATGAGGCAGAATAGGTTGCTGTTCTGGTAAAGCTTACAGTCTACTGGAGCAGACAATACACAGGTAATCAAATAAGTACGCAAGATAATTTAGACTGTGGCAACTGCTGTGAAGAAAATAAATATGGTGATGTGATAGAAAATAAATAAGGAGCCCTGTTTTAAATAACTGATCAGCAAGGTTTCTCTAAAAGGTGACAGTGAGCCCAGAACTGAGTGAGACTGAGCCAGGCATTTGAAGAGCTAGGGAAGAGCATTCAAGACAGAAGGAAAAAAAAAGTACAAAGTCAAGAGACAGTGTGGCTATTTGCAGAATTGAAGGGGAAACAGTATAACTGGAAATAAGTAAGCATGATGGGAGGAGGTGGGAGAAGAGATGAGATGGAGTTAGAGAAAGGCAGAATTATTTAGAATCTTTGGGCCTTGACAAGGAGTTTGAACTTTCTTCTAACATATATGGGAATATATCAATCTTTCTTATTTTCACTGAAATGAGTTTTAGTCAGGAGAGTGATATGATCTCATTTCTAATTTAAAAACCTCTGCTGTGTGTCATGGATACAACCTAGGAGAGGGCAAGTGTAAAAGCCATGGAAATGGACACATAGCTGGGGCCAAGGCTGAGCTCTTGGGAAGAGAGGACCACAGATTGGAATAGCGGGCAGGAGTCATGGCAATGGCAAACACGGGCATGTCTCACTTTGTTTTGGAAATGAACCTCAAGGCTTCCTAAAGGCTCTGATATCACAGTAGAGAAGTGAGGGAAATAACCAACTAGGATAATGCTAAAGTTTTGACTAGAACAATGGTGCCTGATGGGTTCCTTCACTAGTCATTTTCCTATTTAAATCCTGTTTTATTTATTTATTTATTTAGACAGGTTTTTGCTATGTTTCCCAAGCTGGATTTGAACTCCTAGCCTAAAGCCATCCTTCTGTGTCAGCCTCCTAAGTAGCTGGGGCCACAGGTGCATGCCACTGCACCCAGCTGTTTTCATTCTTAACATGCCTGCAGGATTGCCATATGCAAGTGACTTGCAGCTCTGATCTTTTTTTTTTTCCTTTTTTATTCTTTTTGCTCATGTTTTACAAACTGCAGTTACCTTGAGTAATATTCCTCCTGAGTCAGCCTGGTCTTTGGAACCCAAGGCGGCAGTCGCGAATTTGCCCCAGACTAGCCCCATTCTGCAAACCAGGGTTCATATTCCAGTGAAAAATGCATTGGTGCATTTGATGAGAAAAAATGTATCATTTTCTATATTAATTATCTGGCAAAATATTAGAAGCAAATAACTACTTCTCTTTATAGTCTATCACTTGTGGCAGCATAATGGAATCATGTCAAATATGTTGGTGTAGACTATGAAAGAAATAAGTACAGGGCCAGAAAGTCCAAGTTCTGGCCAATTGTTTAGTGGTAGTGAATTAAAATGATAAAATCTTAGGTCTGTCTTTGTCTGCAGCCTTATATGTCACTTGATTCTAAGCACCCATACCATTTCAATCATCCAACAGCAATTTGCATGGAGAGGCGGTGTAAGAGTGGTTAAGTCAAAGCATGGGCTCTGGAGCCAGAATATCTGGGGTTAAACCATAGCTTAATTCCTTACTGCCTGTATGACAACAGGTAAATTGCTTAACCTCTCCAGGCCTCAGTTTCTGCAATGTGGGGATGATAAGGGGATCAACCTCCAAGATCACTATGAGAATTAGATGAATTAATATGGATGAGACAATTTAAAAAGTGCTTGACTTGTAGTGAGCTCTATATAAATGTTATCTACTTTTATCATTATTTTGCTTTTTCTCCCCTTTTTCAGTTGTTCAGTCTACTTGGCAGTCTGCTACTCAATAGTAAATTCATTGACAGCTCTGAGTTTTATATAACTCATGAAAGCCTTTAACCATGTATAAAGGCTAAAATGACCTTAGGGGAATGCAATTTATATTATAATAGCTTAATGGAACCAATTATATTATATCAGCATAAAAACTTTTAAGTGGAAAAATGTATTCACCAGTAAAAATGTCCTATATTTCAATAAGAATGTCCATATGCCAACTGTTTATTAGTTGAGATTTAAGAAATATTCAACAGTGAGGATTAAGTTTTATGATTTTAATTCAATATCCATTAATAAGTTAATACAGAAGCAAGAAGAGCTTTCATAATATGGCATTTAATTATAAAACAGTCTTAAATATAAAGCATCTAGAATGTGTCAAACTTTTCAACAAATGTAACTAATTAAACCTTTCTAGGGAGAAACTGGATTTTTCTGATAACCCTGATTTAAAATCGTGGAAAGCAAATCTCCACAGCAATGAGGACTGTGGGCATTCTCTTCATATCCACTCTTCCTATTCACTTAAAAAGCAAAATTAATAATCAAGTGTATATAATGCATCATTAGTTATAATGCGTCTTAGCTCTGAATAGTGTTGTTAATATTATATAAAAGAAAATGGGTTTTGATTTCAAACCTAAAGTCACCAAGGCATAATTAATGCATAGAAATAATAGTTTAGTAGGACAACAATGCTTAAGTAAGACAAATAATCTTTTATAATTGAAAGTTCAATTTGCAAAATTGGCTGGGCGCAGTGGCTCACACCTGTAATCACAGCACTTTGGGAGGCTCAGGTGGGCAGATCGCTTGAGCCCAGGAGTTCAAGACCAGCCTGGGCAACATGGCGAAACTCCATTTCTACAAAAAAAAAAAATGCAAAAATTAGCCAGGCATGGTGGCATGCGACTATAGTCCCAGCTATTCAGGAGGCTGAGGTGGGAGGATGGATTGAGCCTGGGACGTAGAGGCTGCAGGGAGCCACGATGGCACCAGTGAACTCCAGCCTGGGTGACAGAGTGACACCTTGTGTCAATTAAAAAAAAAAAAGAAAAAAATGTATATTTGAAGTAAAAAATAATTTTGATTTTTTTCATATTTTGTTATTTTGCTGAAGCTTCATTAATTTTAAAGAAGGCTTGTACTTCCTACAATTAGTCATTGTTTCATGACAGACACCTCCGTCACTACAATCATAAAATGTGTGGCATTAGTATAACAGGAAAGTCATAATTTACTGGCTCTGTTTTTTTTATCTTTATAGATCATTATAAAATATTTGTTGGAAAAGAAGAGTTGAAGAATCTCTAAAATAAATTAGCATAACTGCTTGAAATAGTAGAATATAAAATGTTAATAGTCCATAATGATAGGAATTAAAATCTATTTTTGTAGTAATCCTTAAAGAAAAGTTAATAGTTTAAATTTACATATTATCTCCCCTCCCAAACAAAAGCTTGCTGCATATTATTGAAAGTGTTTTTTTATTTTTTATTTTTTTACAGGACAGAACAGGATCACTTGAGGTCAGGAGTTCGAGACCAGCCTGGCCAAAATGGTGAAACCCCATCTCTACCAAAAAAGACAAAAATTAGCTGGGCATGGTGGTGTGTGCCTGTAGTCCCAGCTACTCAGGAGGCTGAGGTGGGAGGATCACTTGAACCCAGGAGGTGGAAGTTGTAGTGAGCTGAGATCCGGGCCACTGCACTGGAGCCTGGGAGACAGAGTGAGACCCTGTCTCAAAAATAAAAAGAAAGGTGGAACACAATGGCTCACCACTGTAATCCCAGTGACCCAGGAGAAGACTCATTTGAGGCCAGGAGTTTGATACCAGCCTGGAGAAATAGTGAGACACCCTATCTAAAAAAAAAAACAAAAACAAAAAACAAAACAAAACAAAAATAACTAGCTGGGCATGATGGCATGAGCTTGTAGTCCCAGCTACTCAGGAAACTGAGGCAGGAGGATTACTTAAGCCCAGGAGCTCCAGGCTGCAGTGAGCTATAATTGTGCCACTGCATTCCAGTCTGGATAACAGAGAGAGACCCGGTTTCGAAGGAGAGAGAGAAAGAGAAAGAGAAAGGGGTCTCACTTAGCCACTCAGTCCGAATTCCCAGTAGTAGACTATTTAGAGTATACCATTTTAGACCTTTTTCTTACGATCATATGGGCTCATACATTTATACATGCACATATGTATTCACTTATGTGTATATCTTTTATGTAAAAAAGTATTGTAACTAGATTTTGTTTTTTCAACTTGCTTTTTTTTCGGTAAAAGATACATTTTTCACACACATCTTCTTATTTTTATTGGCTACAAGTAATCCATTATATTGATTCAACAAAATTATTTTACCAGACTTGGATACAGAGGTATTTTCCAATATTTTACTGTTACATAAAAATGTCGTAGAATGTGGTAGGGGGCCCTTTGCACAGACATCGTATAGCCCCAGCTGAAAGTCTTTTCAGGACTTATTCTTAGAAATAGAGTTTATCAGTTATTGGATTTGAGCATTTAGAGTTTTGAGAAATACAGTCAAATTGCCCTCTGAAATGACTGGGCCAATTTACTCTCCTATCAATAGTATATGATAACACCTGTCTCCATACACTCACTGCAGAACAGCTATGTTGTTTTGGACAAAAAAAAAAAAATGACACAACATATTTCGATAAAACTGCATTTAATTTAAATTTTTTTCTTTAAATATAAAAGAATAGGTATACTATATTTTTCTATACTATGGAGTATAAAACGTTATTGACGTTAAGTTAAACGAAAAATTACAAATATAACATGCTTATTGTAAAAAAAAATCAGGCATATGAAACTGATAGTTAAAAAGGAAAGGTGGAGGTGGGGTGCAGTGGCTCATGCTTATACCTGCAGCGCTCTGGGAGGTATCATTATTGTTAAGAGTTGGATTTGTTAATTGAACCTGGGATTGTGTTTTGGCCATTTGGATTTCTAGTTCAGGGAATTTCTGAATTGTATTCTTTTTTTTTTTTTTTCAGTAGATTCTTTTTGTTCCTTCTAAGTTCTAGAAACTGTATGAAGTGTGACTTTTTCTTTTTCGTACATCATATAGGTAACAGATAATTTTTCCTAATGTATCGCTTGCCCTTTAAATTTGTTTATAAAATCTTTGTAACTCAGTAGAGAAATGCCTCTTAACCATATTCTTGAGTGTCAACGTAATTTTACAGGGATATTAAAAAAGTGTCAATAGGCATTTATAGATAGTGTTAGAGAACAGAAGATTTGTGACTATATTATTATTAAAAGATAAATAAGATCAGATTCATAGTTACTCATATAAAGATACTCTTTCCACTTAACTTCCTTATCTATTTTCTTAGCAGGGATAAAGAGGTAAAACACACACAGTCACAAATTATATTCACATCACTGTCCTCACATATAGGCTGTCTGATTGAGGAATCAAGAAAAATAATAGACATTTCACAATGTATATACATATCAAAACATTATGTTGTACATCCTGCTTGTAAACAAGTTTTATTTGTCAGTTATACATTGATAAAGCTAAAACAAAGAAAAATGATGGAAGGTAGGGAAATAAAATTACTTGTTTAAAATAATGTAAGAGAGATTATCCTCATTATACTTGATTAATAGAGACTTAACACTCAAAACCAAACAAGTCTTAGAATATACACGATTGCAAAAGACTATAGAAACTGACAAAATTTTCTTAGGAAGATACCAACCGACTTTTGCGCCAGCAGGCAGAAAATTAATATGCTTGATTGTGGCCCATGTATATCATAAAGAAAATATATCTAAACATGGACTCTACATAATTAAAATTGTATTGTATAAGTTTTAAGTGATTATTTCCTACTAATTTACTGGTATATTTACTATTGTAGTAAATTAATTTTTATTGCTTATAATTTAATCTTCAAAGTAGTTCATCCATGAATGCTACAAAAATGTAAAATGAACCCTGAGTAAATCTCACTTGGTGATTTGCTTTCAAGATTAAAGTATAGCTTTTGCAATAACAAGTTTTCAAAATATAAGATTATATGTCCAACATATTTACACATTATCAAACGTGACAGATTGTTTAGTAATTCCCACTAAATATCAAATATCTTCACTCAACTAGTGACAAAAATTTAAGATAACTGAGTACAAATCTATAGCAAGAATAGAGAAAGCCTACCAAACAATAGACTCAAACAATAATAATAAACATCATGATTTTTATTACATATTTGTTAAAACAGTAACAAAATGATAGGAAACATCAAAACTGATGGAAAGAACTGATGGGATCTGTCATATAATTTTAAAAATTTTAAGATTTTAGAAGAATTTTTAAATTTATTTTAATTAAATTTTTTTAAAAAATAGAATAGCTGTTCTGATTATCTTGATTCTCTTTCCCCAATGAGCCTGATTAACATTTTTAATAAAGTCAGATAACAATATTTACCATTTTAAATATTCAAGCTAGAGAAAATGTCTCTGTAAAACACTACTGAAAATGGTTCCAAAATTCAACTGATTTAGAAAATATGATCAGCTGTTAGATCAATGAAACTATATGGTGAGATTGCTCAGTGGAAGAAAATGCTGACAATTTTTCTTCTCTAGGAAATGCTAGGCTATGTCTTTCTCTGTATTTGAACATGACAAAATGTCCTAATTTGTGTGAGAGGAGCCATACTGAATTATACGGTCCAGCATGGAAAATGTCAACAGTGTGTTAGGGATAGGAATTACAGAAGGAAATAACTATAATTCTTATATTGTTGATGGTAACAAGCATGCATGACATAAAACATTCCTCTTCATTAAAGTATTTGCCTTTAGTGAGTTATAAAATTATCTACCAATGTCATGAAGAAATCATTTGGATATATACCTATATTAAAATATTAGTGTCATTTTTTATTTGGGAATGAACCCAACTCCTATTTAAAGGGTCTTCTACAGCTGAAACCAGGACTTGGAAGTTTGTGATTCTATTATTATCACAAGACACCAGGTAACAATTGAAAGGAATGGGAAAGAGACAAGGTGGTTATTTTCTGTGAGGAAAGAACAAAGAGTAGTGTCTTGTCTGTTACTGGAGATTATGTCCTGAGATTCTTGAGAATCCCTATGTTGTTATAGACAAGTATATTGCACCAACTACTACTTTCCCTGTGATTGCACAATTTTATCAACAGTGTGATTTTAATCTGTACAGAAACGTTGGTTATATAGAGGAGAGCTTTTCAAAGTGTGGTACCCTGGATAGGCAGTATCAGGTCATTGGTCATTTCCCCGACCTACTGAATGAGACCTACTGAATTCTTTTATTTTAATTCAAATTACTTAAAATATAATAGAATATATTGGTTCTTCACTCACACCAGTCACACTTCAAGTGCTCAATAGCCATATTTGGCTAGTGGTAACCATATTGGACAGGAAATATATAGAACATTTCCGTCATCGTAGAAACTTTACTGATTAACGTTGCCAATGTCAGGACAGCGATCCAAACTGCTAAATTCATCATGCTACTTTTAATTACTGAAAAACTGCTAATACCCTCACTCACTTGTACTTCTTTTCTTTTACTTCATTTTTGTCATGTCTGGTAGAATTTTAGAGATCAGATGATTTTGCATTAAGATGTCAGAGGGAGGCAGTATTGCAAAATCTCCCTCCCAAATTTGCAAACCAAAAAAGCACAAAACCAGTTAAAAAATTTGATAAGATTCACCATCAGCAAATAAATATAAACATCAAAAAGTGGCAATCAAAAAAAAAAAAGAAAAAAGAAAATTCTGGAATTGGGTACAACAGTATCGAGGAAAGAAGAGGAGTTAGCTGATAACCTTAATAATATTTCTCCAGTTTGGAGAGAAATATATTAAGAATACTAGAAGTAAACCAGGGAAAATTTTTAGAATGAAAATAGCTCTTGAGATTGGAGGATTTTACACAGCAATGTAGGACTTTGGCAGAGGTAGAAAAACTCAGAGTGATTGCTTTCTTGAGGTGGGGGACAGGTGTGGGAGGTTGCTGACTTGCAGAACCCCTACCTGTCTAGGAGAGCTGGCTCTAGTACAAAACATTCAGTTTCGAAGAAGAGAATGGAGCTATGTGCTCCAACAAGGAATGGTCTCAGCTTTATCCAAGATAAAGCTGTCTTCATGACTTCAGGTATAAAAAAGTAGATTATTTTTAGTATCCACCGTTCAAATAATAATTTCAAAGGAAAAGCAAAGGTACTAGATAAGATGGTGAAAGTGTGAAGAATTCATTCACTTACATTATAACAAAGTAAATAGAAGGTGTAGACAGAGCTGCCCAAATTAATGATGAATGAGATTTTAAAAATGGCATATAACTTTGCAAGCGTGTTTGGTCAAGGGTAGGGTGTGTGTTGAGAGGATCACAACACACAAAATATAAAACAACAGAGACAATTGCACAAGATGTAAACATATTTAATATAAACATGAATTCAATAAAAGAGAAAAATGTTAATAAGTAGCAGAATAAAAATTATCAAAGCAAACTGAATATCAAAACAATTTTGCTACAGATATTAATATAATAAATGAATGAAAGCCAAAATAAACAAAGTAGGATTCTTGACTATCAAGCTGCTGGCATAGATGGAATTAATCAGAGTGAATGTGAAGAAAAAGACCGAGAGAACAAAGCAATTAGAAGATGATAGATATGGAAGATGGACAAAGAAGATTGAAGGTAAAGATAATTGATGCTCTCCAAGTAGAAAATCCAACAAATGGAATGGAAAATAGTAATGAGGAAAGTAACATAGGAAAAAACTCCTGAAATGAGAGATCATTGAACCTGCAAACTAAATAGGCACAATAAATAAAATACTAGGAGAATTTATCACTGAACCACCAGCATGCATATCCATCCTAATTCATCTTTTATTGAACTTCAAGGATGAAGAAATACTTTTTTGCAGAGAAGTTACTTACAAGGGGGAAAAAGTATGCTGTTTTCAAACTTCTCCACTGAAATATTCTATGCTAGAAAACAATGTAAAACTATCCACAGTTTAAAAAGGAAAGTATGATTCAACAATTCTGTGTTATTTCCAGTTACATTATCATTTGAGGAAAAAGGCAACAGGCAGACATTTTCAAATGTGAACAAGAAAAGCCTTCGAGGAATATTGCACTCACATTTTTCTTGGGAAAAAATTACCTGCCCAATGATAAATTCAGCCAAGAAATACATTAAAATAACTACGAAATGGAGATACCATGGTAGAAGTTGCAGTATGCATTGAATCTATTTAAATATAACAGACAAAATAATAGAAAAATTATAGCTATAGAATGGTATATAAATGCTGAATAAAGCAACAAAATCAGAGGGAAGGTAGAAGAAAAAATTAGGGAGGGGAAAAAAGTTCTAATCATGTATTTCACAGCAAAGAATCAACTAATGCTGTAAAAATGAAATATGTAGTTTAAATTGATTACAACATTTTAATGATTTTTAATTTGTAAACATTGTTGAGCATTTAAAAAATTCATATAATAAACATTTATGCAAAGTTCAGAATTCTACTTCAAATTATTTCACTTTCATTAAATCAAGTAAAACTTATTTGGTTTATTTTAAATTTATTTTAAACTTCTAACTTAAAATTAAATGTCCTCTTATTTAAAGCAATTGATTGGCTGGGTACAGTGGCTCACATCTGTAATCCCAGTATTTTGGGAGGCCAAGGTGGGTGGACCACTTGAGGTCAGGAGTTTGAGACCAGCCTGGCCAACATGGTGAAACCCCATCTCTACTAAAAATACAAAAATTAGCTGGTCGTGGTGGTGTATGCCTATAATCCCAGCTACACAGGAGGCTGAGGCAGGAGAATTGCTTGAACCCAGGAGGTCGAAGTTGCAGCGCACTGAGATTGCACCACTGCACTCCAGCCTGTGTGACAGAGTGAGACTCCATCACAAATAAATAAATAAATGAATAAATAAATAAAGCAATTGTTCACTGATTTTAAAAATGCTAAGTTAAGATAGAAATAATAAGCACATCTTAACATTTTTGTATTAGCACAAACGCATTTTTACTAGACACCATTCACTAGTTATTTGATGCAGGAGAAATGTTTCTTCTTTGAGTGCATAGCCCCTAGTTGAAGTTCAAATTTTTCCTTTCAGTATAATCATGCCACAATATATTTTCTATGGTCTCTAATTTCATTTTTTTAAAAGAAGAGTAAAACATTAAAACATTTAAAATGTTTGCAAAATAATGTGATTGCAAATCCTTCAGCCAGGCACGGTGGCTCACGCCTGTAATCCCAGCACTTTGGGAGGCCAAGGTGAGTGGATCATGAGGTCAAGAGATTGAGACCACCTTGGCCAACATGATGAAACCCCATCTCTACTAAAAATACAAAAATTAGCTGGGCGTGGTGGCATGCGCCTGTCGCCCCAGCTACTTGGGTGGCTGAGGCAGGAGAATCGCTTGAACCCAGGAGGCTGAGATGGAGGCTGCAGTGAGCTGAGATCGCGCCATTGCACTCTAGCTGGGGCAACAAGAGCGAACCTCCATCTCAAAAAAAAAAAAAAGCAAATCCTTCTAGATATTTTTCTATCTCACCTGTCAGTTTTATATTTTTTTCTTTAACATGAATTCTACAAGAGTTTTTAACCACTTAATTGTGTCAAGCCTCTCAAAACATTCCATTTAATTTTTATGGATACGACAGATTTTTTATATATTATTATATATGTATATTTCTTACTATCATTTTACAGTTATGCATCACTTAATGAGGAGAACACATTCTGAGAAATACCTTGTTAGGTGATTTTTGTTTTCCTGCAAACATCATAGGGCCTACTTACACAAACCTTGAAGGTGTATAGACCACTACCTTCTATATAGGATCTAGCTTATATCCCGGCTGGGTGCAGTGGCTCACGCCTGTAATCCCAGCACTTTGGAGGCTAAGGGGGTGGACCACTTGAGGGCAGGAGTTCAAGATCACCCTGGCCAACATAGGGAAACCCCATCTCTACTAAAAATACAAAATTTAGCTGGGCATGGTGGCTAATCCCAGCTACTCGGGAGGCTGAGGCAGGAAAATCGCTTGAACCCAGTAAGGGGAGGTTGCAGTGTGCAGAAATCTTGCCACTGCACTCCAGCCTGGGTGACAGAGTGAGACTCTGCTTCAAAAAAAAAAAAAAAAAAGGATAAAAAGGATTTAGCCTATATCCCAAGACTACATGGAATAACCTATTGCCCCTAGGCTACAAACCTGAACAGCATGTTACTCTACTGAATAATGCAGGCAATTGTAACACAATGGTATTTGTGTATCTAAACATACCTAAACATAGAAAAAGTACACTAAAAGTACTGTAAAAGGCAAACAATGGTGCACTTATCATGAATGGAGCTTGCAGGACTTAGTAAGTTGTGAGTGAACGAGAGGGCCTAGGACATTACTGTTCACTGCTGTAAGCTTTACAAACACTGCACACCTAGGCTTTATTAAATTCATTTTTAAAAATTTCGGTAGTAAATTTACCTTAGCTTACTGCAGTTTTTTACTTTATAAACTAAATTTTTTAACTTTCTGATTCTTCTGTAATAACACTTAATTTAAAACACATGGCACAGCTGTACAAAAATATCTTATTTAATCATATCCTTATTCTCTAAGCTTTTTTCTATGTTTAAGTTTATTTATTTTAGTTTTTTTCTTTTTAAAGCTTTTGTTAAAAATTAAGACAAAAACACACACATTAGCCTAGGCCTCCGTAGGGTCAGGATCATCAACATCACGGTCTTCTGCTGCCACATCTTGTCCCACTGGAAAGTCTTCAGCAGCAGTAACGTGCATGGAGCTGTCATCTCCTATGATAACAATACCTGCTGAAATACCTCCTAAGAGACCTGCCTGAGGCTGTTTTACAGTTAACTTTTTTTTTTTTTTTTTTTTTTGAGACGGAGTCTCACTCCGTTGCCCAGGCTGGAGTGCAGTGGCTCGATCTCGGCTCACTGCAAGCTCCACCTCCCGGGTTCATGCCATTCTCCTGTCTCAGTCTCCCGAGTAGCTGGGACTACAGGCACCCGCCACCACGCCCGGCTAATTTTTTTGTATTTTTAGTAGAGACGGGGTTTCACCGTGTTAGCCAGGATGGTCTCGATCTCCTGACCTCGTGATCCACCCGCCTCGTCCTCCCAAAGTGCTGGGATCACAGGCGTGAACCACCGTGCCCGGCCTACAGTTAACTTTTTTTTAATAAGTAGGAGTACACACTAAAATAGCCATAAGAAATCTAGTATGGTAAATATATAAACGAGTAACATTATTATCAAGGATTATGTTCTATATATAATTGCATGTGGTATACTTTTATATGACTGGCAGCACAGCAGGATCGTTTACAGCATCATCATCACTCACACGAGAAATTCATTGTGCTATGACATTAAGACAGCTGTGATGTCACTAGGCAATAGGAATTCTTCAGTTCCATTATAATCTTATGCAACCACTGTCATACATGAAATTTGTTGTTGACCAAAACATGATTACATGGTATATGACTATATTACTATTCATTAACTGCAAAAATAAAAATAAATAAACAAAATTACAAAATGCAATGCAAAAATGAAATGAAGAACAAAGCCTGACTGTGTTCTGGATGCTGGACAGAGGCTATCGTTGATATTTTTGGTTGTGTGATTAGCAAATATTGACCCCTTCGTCCTTCCAAAAGAACTGCAATGCGTCTATTCTTCTGTTATGGAGCTTATGTGCATTAGTGCAATATAACCAGCACATTATATTTCCCCAGTCGCAGTCACTATTAACTATTGACATGTGACTTAGACAATCCAATCAAGCTAAATCATAGAACACTTTCTTGATTAGAATACTGAAGAGAAACCTTCTTTCTCAGCTTTTAGATATATACAAAGAAACATGTAGGTCCAATTGCTGATAGTAACCATTCTTCACCATGAGAGTCAATACAGGATGAAACTGGCACTGTGGGGAAATATGTGTTGCAGTCCTCAATGGCATGGAATCAATGGATCCATCATCCTGAGATCCACCCTGTTTCTAGATTCCTGCTAGGTAAATAAGTCTTTTTGTGTATAAGGGTGGGTTGAGTAGGATACCTAAAGCATCTTCACTGACACATTCATCTATGAGTCAAAGGCTCCAGGCTTTCATACCATATAAATGACAAATAATATACAATAATCAATTGTGTGCTAGAGTGCAATTATAAACCACTGAGGCCACGGATCTTCAATCTCCATCAGTTTGCAAAACTGAATGTAACATCTGTTGAATTTAGAGGTCTGCCCTAATCAGTTGTTTCCCTAACTTCAAATGAATTCAAATTGGTCCTGAGTTTGGACTCAACCATTTCTATGTAAACTAGCGCTTGTCAGGAAAATTAATGAGAACAAGTTCACAGCTGCTGACCCTCTAGGACAATAACAAAAAGTGAAGCCCAAAGAGTGATTGGCAACTAGAATAGTTGTGATTACCATTCAATCAATCTCATTCTAAATGGGGTTTTAACAAAACAGAAAATAATCTGTGGAGAAACAACTTATTCATAATAGTCTAACTTGTTTCTAAATTGTGCTACTATAAAGGATGACACACTGAATCCAAGTTTTCAGGCTTGATTTTCGTCACCATCCATGATGAGTCCTGGGGGTGCCTTGGTCATTTTATCAGTGCAAGGTGTGCATCATGGAAGTGAATGAACAAAACATGAATGTCTCACTATAAAAAACAGATATAAAGATAATATGGAAAAACAATTATTTTTAAAGGTTGATCGTTATCTTCTTTAGTAATGAAAAATTAAACATCTGAAGTTGTGCCTTAGAAAAAGTGGGAATTAATCTCATATTTTGGTTTAATATCCCTTGCCCCCCTTTTCCTGTGTTTCTTGCGAAATCTTATGGCATCTTTCTCTCCATTTTGTTAGTCTACTTTCGCTCTTTTACTTTTTAGTCATGATATAGAAAAAGTATAATTTTGTTTATGTCACAGCAAACTTAATGAAGATTGGCACCCATTTACATCTCTGTGTGAAACAATTTTAATGTGCCAGTTCTTCCAAAGGTGTTTTTACATATAAAGCTAGAGCTCTAATAATAGAAAGAAAGTTTTATGTTTTCTAAAACAGATTCAAAATATAAGTGAGCAAGTGGTGGTGATTTTGAGAGGATTAAAAAAACCCTTTTCTGGGGAACCTATGATGGTACCATGTAATTATAATCCAGTTTACCTATTTGCCAAGACAAGAGGTAAATCGATTTAAAAAAATAGAAAGTTAAATTATGGCTGTAAAAAATCACTTTGTGAAAGTGACTAGCAAGCCATAAATCATAGTATCCAAATGTGACCTCAAAATTTGAATTAGTTTTCTTATCTCTCAAATTGCTTGTCAATTTTGCAAGACCGCCCTAAGCTCTAAATGTGATAACACTAGTAAAACATGAGGCGTCACAACTGACACACAAGAGGTGCTCACATTTTACTCTTTTATTTCAATCGGGTATGTATTGAGCTGAGTTATGTTTATAAAACACATGTTACAAAATGTATCTCCCTGGATTACCTAATTGAGTTGTCTATTCCTTACTAATGACCCTCTAAACAGAGCCTTCTTGTTGCTGCTCCTCAGCTTCCTAGTCTGGAAGTTAGTTAGATGGAACTAACTTAATTAAACCAGTTAGATGCATATTCCATGTGCTCTCTACCTTGTGTTTAACTCAGTCATCCATTACTTGCCTGTCTTAAAGTGTTGAATCACTTGAGCATTGGGGATTCAGTTCCTGGAGATCAATAATCTTGGGGTTGGACAAAAAAACAAATTGTACAACTGTATTGTTAAATCCTAATTTATTTAGTGTAAAGTAAACAAAGATGCTTTAGATACATCATTACTTAGGATCACATATTAATATACAAATTTAAATGAAAAAACTGAAAATCCATGAGTAGTTCTGCTTAGCTGGCATGGTTGTAGGTAAAGTTCAGATAAACTTGATCCCTTGTCCAGAGACAATCTGATAATTATTAGGAGATTAGCCACTATCTGGCCTGCATATGATGTGTCCCTATTTCTCCTCAATGTGGCAAACAACCTATCATTTTCATCAAATACATATTGGAAGAGTTCGATAAATAAAAATACTACCAATACAGAAAATAGTTTTTACTCTTATAAGGTGGGGCTTTTAAAATATGAATCAGCTACATAGAATCAGAGCTGCTAAAATATCGCTTTGACCAGTAAACCTATGTGCTATAAAACCTCTGGAGCAAGTTCTCATCATTGTCACAGACTTCACCTTTACCTAAGTCATATCTAGATTTTTGTCTTAATTTATTTCTCCATTTTAGCTTTCCACTTATTTCATCCTAAGGCCATAACTAAGCCTGCAATTATGTTGAAAACTTGTGCATGCTCCAGGCTAAGCTTGGCCATCCTCTGCCTTGATCGCTGTCCAAGTTTCCAGTTTTTCTCCTTTATTGTCTAAATCATCTTTGCCAAGCAGAACCTAGACATTCAACCATACCTAGGGTAGGATAAAGGGTGGGATAAGACTGACTGTTGGCTATTGAGAGTAGATTCCAGTGATGATAATTAAGGCAAATAATAATAGCATCTATAACAGATGAATCCTAAAATCCGAGTGGTTTAAAACAATGCAAATATCTTGATTAGATCGTAATTTAATGAGGGTTAGTGGGGACTGGAGGTGGGGGGCTTTCTTCTCTATTGAAACAGTTTGGAGCCAGGTGCATCCTTTAGATCCCTGGACTCTTGTTCATTCAGCCCAATGACAGGAAAAGTCGGCTAGTGTTTTTTTCGTTTGTTTGTTTGGTTGGTTGGTTCTTGCCTGGAAGAACCACATATCATTTCCATTCACATTGCATTCACCAGAACTCAGTCACATCATCACACATAGCTACAGGAATGCTGGAAAGGGCAGTCTAGCATGTGCCAAGGAAGACAGAATACAGATGTCAAGAATTTCAAGAAGTCAAGCAGATTATCCTTGGAAGTATCAATCCAAGGGGTTTATAATTTTGTAAAAGAATTCTTGACTCATTCCTTTAATTTAGTGTGTATGAGTGTGTGTGAATACACACCATACACAAACACACATATATATATTTCCTGATATAATCTCTGTATAATTTAGAAAAACAAAATTTAAACAATGACCTTATATTGTCAAAATACTAAAGGAAGCTATGTAAATTCCTTTGTAAACTTAGTAATGCTCTTCCAAAACAAGTAGTCTTCCCCAAAATTTCATATGCCTTTAATACTTTAGAGTATTATGTAGTTCTGTTTTTTATACCACGTCACACATTTACTGTAATAATTCAAGAGTAATATGAGTCTGCATTATTGTGTGACAAGTATATGACATCAGCCAGAAGTGTTGAAACTACACCAAAATTTTTGGGGTTTTACCTATCAGATGATTCTATTAATCTACCAACAATAAATAAAAAGACTTCATTTGTTTAAATGTGTCAGTTGGCCCACCTGTCAAAGATTAACAGGAAAGTGTTTGCTTAGTATGGCCCCATGAAATGAAATGCATAACAAATCTGAACGGAATTGGTTGGCTCAGTCTAGAATGTGAAATTGATGAGGTCATTATCATGACTTCAATCATTGTTCAAATTGGCAAACCTTGTTGCAAAACCACAGAAACACTCACATTGCCTTGACAAAGTAATAGGCAAATATTGTCAGGTACTGCAAGGGTACTCTGGGGAAAGAATCTGAATGGTTGGAAAAATCCTTTATAGTTCAAGAAAAATAATTCACTCAAATCACAAAGTCTTGCTGAAAAATTAGTAAACGTTTGGCTTTACCATATGAAAAATGAAAGTATTATAAGTATCTTGTTATTTAACATATTCATAAATGACCTGGTGTAAGGAAATAGACTTTATAAACAGATTGTTCATTATTTCTGGATGTGTATAACATATAATAAATTATTGTAAGTCACATTCAGACATGGCAGAGCATCTAAATGCAGAAACCACTTTACTTTGGAATATCTTATTCATCTTCCAAGAACATATAGTGACTGCCTAATAACTGATTGAGATGCTGGACATCAAAGATAAAAGAAAAATATACTTACCATCAAGGAGCTTTCTGTTTAGTGGAGGGCAATACATGTAAAAATTAATAATATAATGATATGCCTATTAAAATTGAAGTCTATATAAAGTTTGGTGAAAGCATAGGGTAAAAGCATCTGAGCTGACCAAGAGGAATGAGAACAGGTCTCAGCTTAAATGTGAAAACTGAATAAATTTTTTTCTGCCTGTATAGCAAGATAAGGAATACCTTTCAGAGCCAACAACAGCAGAGGCTAAGACATGAAGATATTATCAACAAGACGAGAGCACAGGTGTAAATATGGGAATGAGCTAAGCACACATTTTTAGATGTTATGCTTTAGGTAAAGCAGGCTCAAATTTTTTTGAGGAAAAGTAGAACATAATGAGGTTTGCTTATGTGGAAAATCCCTTGGGTGGCTGTATGGACAGAGATTTTTGTATGTTATATGCAGTAAGAGCAGAGATTTTTACACTTGATATGCAGAAGAATCACCTGAGCCCCAGTCCTAGAGATTTTTATTCGATAAGCCTAAGTCGAGGCCTGAGAATTTGCATTTCTAATAAGCCCCCAAGTGATGCTCATGATGCTGTTCTGTGATATTTTGGTTAGCACTCTAGAAGAGGCAAGGAAAATGCCCTGGGAATAATAATAATGATAATGATAATGATAATGATAATGTTAAATAAGGCAGAGGCGATAAGGATACAAAGAAACTGAAGACTTTTTAGCAGACGGAATGACCAAGACTTTTGGGTCTCACGACCAATAAGCAGCTTTGAAAACATACCTCCCTGGGATTTATAAACCTTCCAGCCTTTCACTATTCTTCACTTTCACCCTGCACCATTCATTTCTCATTTTCCTTTTTACCTTGCTTACATGATCATTCATAGTAATTTCCTCACATATACTTTCCCTGCCTTGTCCCCCATTCCCCAATTCCATGCACTTATCTTGATATACCACTTCTGCCTAAGCCCAACCCTCTATGCCAGTCTTCCTCTTAGCTTCAAATTTCACTGAGAATCCAGACCACTCAGAAGAAAGCCTCTGCGGGCTCTCTGCACCACATTCACCCAAAAATCCATCTGTGTCCACAAACTCTGCTGGCCTTCCTGCTTCCACAGAGCAGAGTTCCCAAACATATCTCAGGACAACTCACTTGGACACCAGATCCATGCCTTCTCACTTGCTCCATAGCACTGTTCCAATAATTATCAATTGTTTTCCTCTGTTCTGAATGCTGCCTAATGGAAGATTTTTTTTATTAAAATAAGAATGTTGGCTCAACTTTATATCCCCTATTATTATTATTAATTTTGCTTCTCTTGGTAGCAAAACTCATTGAAAATATTACTGACCCTGCTGTCTCCACTTTCTCTCTTGTCTCTTTTTTTGTTTGTTTGTTTTGTTTTTTTGGGACCGAGTTTTGCTGTGGTTGCCCAGACTGGTGTACAATGGTGTGGTCATGGATCACTGCAACCTCCGCCTCCCGAGTTCAAGCGATTCTCCTGCCTCAGCCTCCCAAGTAGCTGGGATTACAGGCATGAGCCACTACACCCAGCTAATTTTTGTATTTTAAGTAGAGGCAGGGTTTCACCATGTTGATCAGGCTGGTATCAAACTCCTGACCTCAAGTGACCCACCTGCCATGGCCTCCCAAAGTGCTGGGATTACAGGCATGAGCCACTGCACCCAGCCTTCTCTTGTATTCTTAAACTAACTTTATCATGATTTTGCCTCCACCTTTGAGGTGAAATTCCTCTGGTCAAGATCATAAATGGCTTTTGCATTGTTGTGTGTGGTGCTGTCTTAGTCCATGTGTGTTGCTGTAACAGAATACCTGAGACTGGGCTGTCTGTGAAGAAAAGATGTTTATTTGGTTCATGAATCTAATGGATGGAAAGTTCAAGATCAGCCTGTTGCATCTGGTGAGGGCCTCCAGATGCTTCAACATATTGGAGAAAGAGGAAGGGGAGCAGGTGTGTGCAGAGATTACATGGTGAGAGAGGAAACAAGAGGGAGAAACTGAGGAAGCCAGAGTCTTTGAAACAAGCTACTCTCAGGAACTAACCCCTTCACTGGAGTGCAAAAAAGTAACCCTGCAGGAGGGCATTACTCTGTCCTCATAAAGGATCTGCCCCCATGACTGAAACACCTCCCTCTAGGCCCCACCTCCCAAGACTGCCACATTTGGGATCAAATTTTAACGTGAGTTTGGGCAAGAACAAACCAAACCATAGCAGGTGGTAAGTGGTCATCCTCATTCAACCATCTACCCAGGAGGTGGAGGTTGCAGTGAATCATACAACTGAATCATAAGCATTTGACAGTGCATTGCTCCCTGTCCCCGGGATATCTTCTGTATCTGGTTTTCAAATTACCACACTGTCCTAACTGTCCTAATTATTTGATTGTCCCATGTTGGTTTTCTTTGCTTGTTCCTCTTTATCTTTCTTTTTCTTTTTTTTTCTTTTTTTTTTTTTTTTTTTTTTTGAGAAGGAGTCTCGCTCTGCGCCCAAGCTGGAGTGCAGTGGGGCGATCTCGGCTCACCGCAAGCCCTGCCTCCCGGGTTCATGCCATTCTCCTGCCTCAGCCTCCTGAGTAGCTGGGACTACAGGTGCTCGCCATTGTCCCCGGCTAATTTTTTGTATTTTCAGTAGAGACAGGGTTTCACCGTGGTCTCGATCTCCTGACCTCGTGATCCGCCCACCTCGGCCTCCCAAAGTGCTGGGATTACAGGCGTGAGCCACCGCGCCCGGCCTCCTCTTTATCTTTCTGACGTGGAAACATAGGTATGCCTCTCAGGTAATTTGTAGATCTCTACTCTGTCCATACTTACTCCCTTGAAGGTCTTAACCAATCACCTAGATTTACAGACCACCTCACCTCTACTCTAACAATGCCTACATTTATGAATTCAACCAAATCTACTCTCCTAATCTTCAGATTTATATCAAAAGTCTCCTTGATATCTCCACTTGGATGTTTAATATGCCTCTACTAAGTTAAAATGTCCCAAACTGGCCAGGCACGGTGGATCAGGCTTGTAATCCAGCTCTTTGGGAGGCCAAGGTGGGTGGATCACCTGAGGTCAGGAGTTTGAGACCATCCTGGCCAACATGGTGAAACCCCGTCCCTACTAATAATACCAAAATCAGCCAGGCATGGTGGCACACGCCTGTAATCCCAGCTACTCAGGAGGCGGAGGCAGGAGAATCACTTGAACCCGGGAGGCAGAGGTTGCAGTGAGCCGAGATCATGCATTGTACTACAGCCTGGGCAACGAGAGCAAAAATCCGTCCAAAAAAAAGAAAGAAAGAAAGAAAGAAAGTCCCAAACTGAACTCTTACCACTTCCTCCTCCCTAGAATTTCTTCTCTCCAGTTTTCCCATCTCAGTTAATGTCAACTCTAGCCCCCTGTTTGCTCAGACTACTTAGTCTCTTTGTTAACAACCTTCACCCAAGACTCCAGCTAACCTGTTGAGTCTACCTTATTCTTATATCCAAAAATCTTAACATTTCTCAACAGTTCCACTGCTACCACTCTTTTCCACATTAAATCATTTCACAACTGAATTCTTTCAGTATATTTCTTAACAGGAGCCCAGTTTTAACCATCGGTTCTCTTCTGTCTATTCTCAATGTAACAAACTGAGTTGCCTAGCTATGTCCTGTTTCTCCCACACTGAGAGGAAAAGCCAAAACCTTCACCATGACCCTAAAGGTTCCATGTGATCTGCTGCTCCATTGCCTTTCTAAACTGATATCCTACTTACTTCCCTCTATCTGCTCCAACCATATAGCTCCCCTTGGAGATTCTGAGATATGTTAACATTCTTCCACCTCATGGCCTTTGCGATTGCTCTTCCCTCTGCTTGGATAGTCTTCTCCTAGAAATCTGCATGATTCATTCTTTCATGTCTCCTAGTCTTGCATAAAATGTCACTTTCTCGGGGAAGACTTCCATGGATACTCTGTCAAAATTTCAATACCCCCACACTTCTTATCATTGCTCCAGTTCTTTTTTTCTTATTTACTGTCCTCTGTAGCACTAGTCCCATCTACTGCAGCATTTCGTTTTACGTTTCTCCAGTTTGAATGTGAGCTCCCTAGAGGAAGAAGATTTGACTGTTCACTTAGGGCATTGAATGTCTGGTACATGCTAGATGCTCATGAAATATTTGTTGAATGTAAGAAAAGAAGAAAGGAAGGAAAATAAAAGAAAATTAACAGAATAATAATTCCCCATTTGTAAATACATTTTAATTTTGTAGAGTGCTTTTATGTTCATAGTCACATTTAATCTTCACAGGTGTTCTGTAAGGAAGACAAGTTAGCTATCACATTTACAAATAAGGCAATCAAATATATTACTTGAAGGCAATGGAAATCGAGTAACTTAGTGAAAGGTCTATGGGTGGGTTCTTAGTATTATTAGTCCTGTCTCCTACTTACTTCTTCAACCATAAAGAACTCCTTCTATCCCCATGGAAGGAGCCAAAAATGCTTTTATAAAATCTTTCATCTTCTCTGTATCTTTGCTTCAAAGAATATTTGCAGAGTTTTACCTTGGAAAACTCCTCTTCTAGTTCTGTTCTGCTAGGTGTGCTTCAAAGACTTCACTTCTTATCTAGCTATTGGGCTTTTCTTGGTCACCAGGATTTGATCTTTAGCAAATCCCTTGCGACACGACCCTCTGTGTGAAGTCTTACCCTCATTGGTTTCTTCAAGCCTTGGGTCAGTCCTGTAGACTCAAGCTTAGCTCAGCCCCTGCTGAGACCACCATGGTGACAGCCTAAGGCAGTATTTTCTGTGAATCTCTTTGCTTTCTGCTGCACTAGAAACGGTAATAATTGGGCCTATTTACATTGGCACAGAGCATCAGCCTGGTTATGTAGAGAAGGGAATCTATAACATGATGTTTTGGTACCTCATATAAATTTTACATCTCTGATATATATGTGTTAATACACATTTTTCCTTACTTCTTGTATATTCAGTCTAACTACCGAATCGATGTTATTTTGTCCTTTTCCTTGGCATTCTTCTCACAGCAAATTACGCTTTTTTTCCTTTGACATATGACTTTCCCTGCTATGAATAAAAAAATGAATTGTGTTTACTTTGACAGATACTGACATTTGTGTCCTCTCTTTTCAAGTTTATCAAATGACCAGTGGCATGATTTTACATTTGCTGTTTTAAACTTTAACGTCCCTGTGGCTCTGGTGAAACGTCAGCTTTCACATACAGCAATATGGCCCATACTTAAAAATGAACCTGAAAGCTGGTTGTAACTAATGTTTTCAAGAAAACCATACTGTCCTCGTGTATAAGTATATGCAAAGATAATCCATGAATTTTGTTTAAAAATACTATGCTTAAGAATATTTTTAAATGCTGTGATTGTTATGCTCAGAAATATATCTTGTGACATTTTAATTCTTTCTGTTGTACAAATTTGTAACAGCATTGGTTGAGGAACTTAACAAGACTTAAAGTAATTATTCTCATCCATCTTACTGAAGATAATATAAATCTTACATTAAAGATTTTACAAGTTATAGGAATATACTGTTCCTATAAAGTACATTCAATGTCAGAAGGATTCAGATGAGGCTTTGGAATAATAATGGAGAAAACCAAGTGATTTAAATTAGGGCTCAACAATAGTACCCAACAAATCATTTTGCAACCCTTTCGCTCCACATTTATGTCTCTTCCATAAGTAGATTATGCTAATAGGTGCCAAGAGATTTATATCTCCAGCAAGCTGAGATAGGCCGTGGTTACTTTAAATTCTCTTTCTCTCAAAGGGCAGACATCGTAACCCAAAGTATTGTCATTATAATTCACTTATCAAAGATGATGTGTGGCAGGTAGGCTGCCTATCAATAATATTTATTGAGTATTCATTTTGAACAAGCTTTGAAACATGGGTTTGTGGCAGAGAGGCAAATAAAACAAGAAAAAAAGCACACTTTTTCCTCCTAGGTGGTTGAACTAAAGATATCACATGTACAACCCCATGTCCCTTTCCCTTGCCCGATGCCCATGAGAGATTGAATGAATTTTCACATGTCTGATCCCATTCACTATGACCTATTTGGAAACATATGTTGGATCCTAGTTTCTTTTACCGTCACATTTTCTGAGGAAATTATATATGCAAAACACACAAGGAAACAAATGTAAAAAAACAAAGCAGACCAAAATACTCACCTTGATAAAATAATTTTAACCTCTCCCCAGCTTTATTTTTTTGTGTGACCCTATTTTTTTCAGTGATAAAGCAATACAAGAGTACCACATACTTACGATGATGAAGTGAGAAGAAGTAAAAAGAGTATAGCACATAATGAGCCCTCAATAAATAATAGTGAGCAATAGCAGAGATAGTATTTGTAGCAGCAGCAGTAGCAGCCAATCTAACAGCAGCAACTATAGTAATTAATTAATGAATTGGAACTGAGTACCTTTTATTTTTTATTATTATTATTTTTTGAGATGGAGTCTAACTCTGTTGCCCAGGCTGGAGTTCAGTGGCGTGCTCTCAGCTAACGGCAACCTTTGCTTCCCGGGTTCAAACAATTCTCCTGCCTCAGCCTCCCTAGTAGCTGGGATTACAGGTGCTCGCCATCATGCCCGGCTAATTTTTGTATTTTTAGTCCAGACAGGGTTTCACCATGTTGGCCAGACTGGTCTCGAACTCCTGACCTCAGGTGATCCGCCCACCTCGGCCTCCTGAGTACTTTTATATGTCAGACATTGTACTAGGTACTGGCAAAATGAAGATAAAGCATACATTCCATACCCTTAGTTATTTCTCAGATTTCTCTGAAATGCACACATACACACACAAACACTCTCAAACACAAACACAAAGGTACAATCACAATGTGATAAAAGTTCCAATTACATTTCATAAGATACCTTTAATTATTTCCATACAATTATTTCTCAGGTTTCTCTGAAATGTGCGCGCGCACACACACACACACACACACACGCATTCAAACACAAACACACACAAAGGTACAATTACAATGTGATGAATGCTCCAATTACATTTCATAAGATAATGTTATAAAAAAGCACATACAGGGCCAGGCGCAGTGGCTCATGCCTTTAATCTCAGCACTTTGAGAGGCCGAGGTGGGCAGATCACCTGAGGTCGGGAGTTCGAGACCAGCCTGACCAACATGGAGAAACCTCGTCTCTACTAAAAATACAAAATTAGCTGAGCATGGTGGTGCATGCCTGTAATCCCAGCTACCTGGGAGGCTGAGGCAAAAGAATTGCTGCTTGAACCCGGGAGGTGGAGGTTGCGGTGAGCTGAGATCACGCCATTGCACTCCAGCCTGGGCAACAAAAGCGAAACTCTGCCAAAAAAAAAAAAAAAAAAAAAAAAAAAAAAAAAAAAAGGCGTATAGAGATGTAGAGAATTATTACTTAGCAGATGTCACATATTTTCTGGAGTTTTGACATTATCTGTTTAAATTTAAACAATGACAATTAGATTTTTTTGTTGTCTATTTTTCATAGAATATCAACCATTGTTATATTTAAGCTATATAGCCACCAAAACAAATTGGTCAGCTACCATGTATAGAATCTTTCTCAAAGTCACCCATACTTGAACTTATGTCCACTTGACAGAAGAATGCAATTCATATTGCTTATACAAATGACATCTTATTACAATGAATGTCCAGCGACTGAATAGCATAGAGTATTTTCTTAAAATGGAATTTCACTGGAGCAGAAACTGTATGGATATAACCTATCACCACTGTGCGAGTGTTATTATGATTACAACTGGATTTTCATTTCAGTGGTCTTGAGGTTAGATAATGAGGTTTTACCTGAGTAAGCGAAAAACTTAAAATTATATTTTAGTTTTTTCATGTTCCAGGCACCGGAAATGAACGCATGATAAAATTATTTATACTTTCTTAAATGAGTAAAATTAACAGGTGTAAAAATATTAACTTTGCAAATAGTATCCCAATTTTTTGGTTTTCCAGCAGTTATTTCCACAGATCACTGGTCATATTCCATCCAACAAAAGTATATATATATATATATATACGCACATACACTCTGTACAACCAGAGACATAGGAGATATTTTCTAAATTCATATTCCTCTATCATTTTCTTTTGGAAGTAGACTTTGGTAATGAGAGCCATAGTAACATCTCTTTGTTTTCAACTTCCTTCTTCAAAATGAAAGTTCATAGGAAAATAATTGTCATGCCTTTGGAAAGGCACTAAAATATCAGCTAGCAAATGGGTTTGGTAGGAGATGAAATTATGTATTTTTAAATCTTCAAATAGTAGTATCAGTAAGTTATATTATCTGACTGGGTATTCACATATAAGATGAACATTGCTTAGCTACAGAAACCTGGTTAATTTTTTTTCCTAATTAAAAATGGAGTTATGTATGTTATGCAAGAATGATGACCACAGGTTTAAACTAGTTTGTAGAATCCTCAAACACTGCTGGTGTCTCACAACTTGATAATAAAAAAATAAATAGCCCAATTAAAAACTAGGCAAAGGATCTGAATGGATGTTTCTACAACAAAGATAAATGAATGGCCAATAAGCACATGAAAAGCTATTTGACATTACTAGTAATTAGAAAACTGCGAACCAAAACCATAATAGCATTCAACTGCATATCCCACAGAACAGTTACATTGAAAAAGAGAGAGAATAGCAAGTGCTGATGAAAATGTGGAGAACATGGAATGCTCATCCATTGCTGTTGGCAGTGTGGTATCCAGTTTAAAAAACAGTTTGGCGGTTCCTTAACATGTTAAACAATAGAGTCACTCTTAAACCCAGTGATTCCACTCCTAGGTATATATTTAAAAGAAATGAAATCCTATGTTCAAATACAATTTATACATAAATGTTTACAGTGTTATTATTCATAATAGGCAAAAAGAAGAAACAACTCAAAATGTTCATCAGCTGATGAATGAGTAAACAAAATGTGTGATATCCTTACCATGAAATATTCTTTGAAAACAAAAAGACCAGAGTATTGACACATGCTACATGGATGAACCTGGAAATATATGCTAACTGAAAGAAACCAGACACAAAAGGCCACATACTGTAAGATTCTACTCAGAGGAAATGTCTAGAATAGGCAAATCTATGGACTCAGACAGACTAGTGATTGTGAATATACTTAAAACTAGTGAATTGTACACTTTAAATTGGTCATTACATAAAATGTAAATTTATCACAATAAAACTGTGTTTTAGAGGCAGGAGAATTGCTTGAACCGGGAGGTGGAGGTTGCAGTGAGCTGAGATCGGGCCACTGTACTCCAGCCCGGGTGACAGAGCAAGACTCCATCTCAGAGAAAAACAAAAACAAAAACAAACCAAAAAAACCACCAAACAAACAAACAACCAATCAAAACAACTAGCTTGTAAAAGTCTGAGAGAATCTCATTCTCCATCTGAAAATCATTTGCTGTACCTCTAACAAGCTTGGGAGAAATAATAGAGTGATCTACATCAATGAGTTACCCCCTTTTTTTAACCCTGGAAAATGTAAAAAGCCTACCTTGTATATAACACAAATTTGTAAAACAGAAAAATCATGTATAACTTCAAATTCATCTCATAATATCAAATCTATTATACTGGCTTATTATAAAAACATTCAATTAAACAGTGAGGCTATTCTAATATACCAATATTTAAAGTCAAAAGTAATGTATGACACCATCAATAATATACCATCAAAACAATTTAATTTTTTAAATTTACAAATAATAATTGTAAATATTTTGGGGGTACAATATGATGTGTCAATATATGCTTACATTATAGAATGATTAAATCAAGCTAATTAACATATCCATCACCTCACATGCTTATCAACTTTTTTGGTGAAAACGTTTAAAATCTAATCTTTAAGCAATTTTAAAAGATGCAATGCATTAATTCTATTCACCATTCTGTGCAGTAGATCACTAAAAAGCAGTCCTCCTGCCCAGCTGAAACTTTGTACCCGTTAAAGTGAGCTAAATATGGCCTGAGAAGGACTCGGTACGTCTATATTTGAGTCCTTGTGGCTGAACCATGACCTAACTTAATAGGTAGACAAGATTGAAAACCTAACTCAAGAGTATGTTCCTGTAACAATACTGCGTCTTGGCCAATCCCATCAGCCATACTTCAACCACTCATACACTGCTGAGTGTTCAAACTGTGTTCAAATAAGGCAAACACTAATCTGTAACCAATCCAGCTGTTTCTGTGCCTCACTTCTGATTTCTGTAGGTCATGTCTCTTTTTTTTGTCTATAAATTTGTTCTGACCATGAGGCACCCCTGGAGTCTCTCTGAATCTGCTGTGATTCTGGGGGCTGCCCAGCTTGCAAACTGTTCATTGCTCAATTAAACCCCATTAAATTTAATTCGGCTGAAGTTTTTCTTTTAACATACCCTTTGATCTACATCTCCCCTTTCCCAATCCTTCTCCGGTCTTTGGTAACCACCATTCTCTCTACCTGTATGAGTTTGACATTTTAGATTGCATATGTAAGGGACATTATGTGATATTTGTCTTCCTGTGCCAGGCTTATTTCACATAATATAATCTTCTCCAGGTTCATCTGCATTGATGCAAATAGCAGAATTTCCTTCTTTTTTAAGGATATATGTACACTACATTTTTAATTGATATATGTACACTACATTTTCTTTATCCATTCATTCTTCGATGTACACTTAGGTCTGTTCCACATCTTGACTATTGTGAACAAGGCACCAATGAACACTTAAGTGTAGGCATTTCTTCAACATACTGATTTCCATTCCTTTGGAACTATATCCAGAGGTGAAATGGCTGGATCATATGGTGGCTCTATTTTTAGTTTATTGAGGAACTTCCATAGAGTTTTAAATAATGATTGTATTAGTTTACATTTCCACCAACAACAAAGTTTCCCCTTCTTCCATTTCCTCTTCAACACTTATCTGTTGTCACTTTGATAATAGCCATTCTAACAGATGTGAGGTGATATCTCATTGCGGTTTTGATTTGCATTTCCCTGCTAATTAGAGATGTTGAGAATTTTGTAATATATTACAAAATATATTACAAAATATATATTACAAAATATATATGTCTTCTCTTGGAAAATGTCTGTTCAGATCCCTTGCCCATTTTTCAATGGGTTATTTATTTTCTTGTTATTGAGTTGTTTGAGCTCCTTAAATATTTAGGATATTAGCCCCTTATTAGATGTGTGGTTTGCAAATATTTTCTCCCAATTCCTGGGTTGTTTTTTCACTCTATTATTTCCTTTGCCATGCAGAAGCTTTTTATTTTCACGTATTCTTATTTGTTTATTTTGTTGCCTGTGTTTTTTTGCTAATATCCAAGAAACCTTTGCTCAGATCAATATCATGCAGTTTTCTCTTTTTTTTTTTTTTTGAATAGTTTTAGAGTTTTAGGTCTTACATGTAAGTCTTTAGTTCATTTTGAGTTGATATTTTTTATATGGTGTGAGAAAAGGGTCTAACTTCATTTTCATCTCCAGCTTTCCAAACACCAGTTATTGAAGAGACTGTCTTTTCTCCATTGCATATTCTTGTTATCTTTGCCAAAAATCAATAGACCATAAATGCACAGGTTAATTTCTGGGCTCTCCATACTGTTCCATTTGTCAATGTGTCTGTTTTTATGCCAGTATTATTCTGTTTCAATTACTATAAATTTGCAATAGGTATTAAAGTCAGGTAGCATGATACCTCCAGGATTCTTCTTTTTGCTTACAATTGCTTTTACCATTTGGGGTCTTTTATGGTTTCAAATAAATTTTAGGACACTTTTTTCTTTCCATGAAAAATGACATTTTGATTTTCATACAGACTGCATTGAATGTGTAGATCACTTTGGGTAGGATGGATATTTAAAATATATAAACTTTTTCAATCCATGAACATGGGATATCTTTCCATTTATTTGTCTCTTCTTCAATGTTTTTCATCAATGTTTTAAAAGTTTCAATACACATATTTTTCACTTCAGTTAAATTTACTCCTACATGTTTTTTTTTTAAATTTATTCTTTATTCTACTGTAAATGGGATAGATTTCTTAATTTGGTTTTCAGGTAGTTTGTTGTTAGTATAAAGGAATGTTACTGATTTTTACATGTTGCTTTTGTATACTGCAACTTTACTGAATTTACTAGTTCTGACGGTTTTGTGGTGGTTTCTTTAGGGTTTTTTATGCATAGGAATATGCCATCAGCAGATTGAGACAATTTTACTCTTTATTTTCCTTTTTGAATGTTTTTTGTTCTTTTTCTTGTCTTATTACTCTAGCTAAGACATCCAGTACTATGTTGAATAAAAGTGGTGAGAGTGGGCATCCTTGTCTTTTCCTGATTTTAGAGGGATGCATTCAACTTTTTACCATTTAGTTTGATGATGTTAGCTGTGGGCTTATCATATATGGCCTTTATCATGTTGAGGTACATTCTTTTCATACCTAATTTGTTGAGAGTTTTTTAATATGATAAAATATTAAATGTTGTCAAATGCTTTTTCTGTGTCTATTGAAATGATCATATAGCTTAGTCCTTCATTCTATTAACACAATGTATCAAATTCATAGATTTTTGTGTGTTGAACCATCTTTCCGTCCCAAGCATAAATCTCACTTGATCATGGTGAATAATTGCTTCAATGTGCTGTTAAACTTGGTTTGCTATATTTTGCTGAGGACGTTTGCACCTATGTTTATCAGGGTTATTGGCCTGAAATATTATTTTCTCATAGAGTCCTTATTTAGTTTCGATAGGAGGCTAATGCTAGCCTTGTAAAATTAGTTTGAAAATGGTCACTCTTCTTCAATATTTTGGAAGTGTTTGAGGAGGATTAGTATTAGTTTCTTTTTAAATGTTTGGTAGAATTCGGCTGTGAAGCTGTCAGAGGCCTGTGAACCAGAGCAACTCCTTCTTCAGCAGAACTGGGTAAAATGAGGCTGAAACCCACTGGGCTGCATTATCGGACGGTTAAGGCATTCTCAGTCACAGGATGAGATAGGAAAGGTCAGCACAAAATACAGGCCATGAAGACCTTGCTGATAAAACAGGTTGCAGTAAAGGAGCCGGCCAAAACCAAAATGGTGACAAGAGTGACCTCTGGTGGTCCTCACTGCTACACTCCCACAAGCATGGCCACATCAGGAAGTTACCCTATATGGTCTAAAAAGGGGAGGCATAATAATCCACCCTTTGTTTAGCATACATCAAGAAATAACCATAAAAATGGGCAACCAGCAGCCCTCGGGGCTTCTCTGTCTATGGATTAGCCATTCTGTTATTCCTTTACTTTCTTAATTCTTTCTTATGCAAGGTCCAAGAATCCTCTCTTGAGGTCTGGATTGGAACCCTATTCCTGTAACAAAGCCATTTGTTTCGGGGCTTTTCTTTGATGGACATTTGATTATTATTTATTCAACCTCCTTGCTATGGGTTTGTTCAGATTTTCTATTTCTTCATGATTTGATCTTTGTAGTTTATACATTTCCAGAAATATATCTATTTCTTCTGGGTAATCAAATTTGTTGGCATGTATTTGTTCACAGTAGTCTCTCATAGCTATTTGTATTTCTGTGGTTTCAGCTGTAGTATCTCCTTTCTCACTTATAATTTTATTTATTTCAGTCCTTTCTCTCTCTATATTTTTTTCTTAGTCTGGCTAAAGGTATATCAACTTGGTTTATCTTTTCAGACAACAAACACTTAGTTTCATTGTTCTTTTCCTTTGTCTTTCTAGTCTCCATTTCATTTATTACTGCTCTTATCTTTATTATTTTCTTCCTTCTACTGACTCTGGGATTGGTTTATTCTTTTTTTTCCAGTTCCTAGAGGTGTAATGTTAGGTTGTTTATTTGGGATCTTTCTTCTTTTTTGATTTACTTACTTAAAAACTTCCCTATTAGAATTGCTGTTGCTCCATGCCATAAGTTTTTGTCTGTGGTGTTTCCATTTTCATTTGTCTTAAGTTATTTAAAAAATGCCCTTCTTGGCCGGGCGCTGTGGCTCATGCCTGTAATCCCAGCACTTTGGGAGGCCGAGGTGGGTGGATCATGAGGTCAGGAGATCAAGACCATCCTGGCTAACACGGTGAAACCCTGTCTCTACTAAAAAATACAAAAAAAGTTAGCCGGGGGTGGTGGCGGGCGCCTGTAGTCCCAGCTACTCAGGAGGCTGAGGCAGGAGAATGGCAAGAACCTGGGAGGCGGAGCTTGCAGTGAGCCGAGATAGCACCACTGCCCTCCAGCCTGGGCTACAGAGTGAGACTCTGTATCAAAAAAAAAAAAAAAAAAGGACTTCTTAATCTCATCTTTAACTCATTGGTTTTTCTGGGGCAGAATTATTTTATTTCTACATTTTGTTTTGGTTGAACAATTCCAAGAAGTCTTGACCCATGCAAATAAGTAACTGTGAATAATTTAAGCAATTTTATATGTAGCATAACTTTTCACCAAAATGATTCTAAAAATTTGAAGCAATTGTTGCTTCAAAATTTCAAACACTAATCACAGTATTTATTATAAACTCAAAATTTGAATCAAAGTATAATAAATAACAAACAAAACATTAAATAATCAGTAGTTTTAAAAATTAGAACATTCATAATACGGTACCATTAAGAAAATATTTTTTATTTTCTTGTTGTTGAACAATCTATTATTGACCATAATTATAGCACATAGCAAGAAATATGTGTCCTAACTTTAGATAAAATTCAATTACATATGACATGCACATGCTGTAACAGGATACTCATCTTTATAAGTTAATGGGAGTAGGCACGTGGAGACCTTCGCTCAGAATAATAACAATACTGAGTTACAACCTTAATAAATAATCATTTAGTACACATGACATACATGTTCATGTACACACACACACGCACACACACACATACACATGTGAGAGCAAGAAAAACTATTCCATAGTCCTCAGACTCAGAAAACAAAAAGTCAGATTTGAAGCAGAAGTTATATTAATGGTATCCAGTTAATTAATACTTTGGTTTATAGGACATTTGAAGTTGTTCCCATTTAAAATTACAACTTCAAAAATAATAAAAAAGATAGACTTTATTAACGTAATTTTAACTAAGTGCCTTATGGGATTGCTAAACTGAGCCTAATGGTTCTATAGCGCAGAATTTGAAAACCACTGGGCTACATTTATAAAGATGCCCTTCAGTTCTCTGATTCTATTATTTGATTATGTAAAATAAAATTAGATTTTTTTAAACTTTTGAAGGATTTTAAAGCATATATTATTTAATATTTTAATGGTATTTACAAAAGATTTTTGGATTACTGGGTACTGACACATTCTCTCCTAATGATTTACAGACACATAGGACAAATTAACAACATCCAGAAAAAAAAAAAGCCTCAAAAGAGAATAGCAAGCTCTGTTTGGCCTTACACACTTGCAGTTTTTGTTTCATTTGCCAGAAAGGCTATATCTAATGGACAGAATTGGCTCTTCTATCCTTTAATTCTCTGTTTAATGACAACTCCTCCTCACATGGCTGTGGCTGACTAGCAAATTTAAAGAACTCTAGGCATGTCCTAACTGTTTGCTCATCAACTACTGTGTACCTAGACCTACACTGGCCAAATTTTACCTCCTCCTGATAGAGTATATCTTGTGTGTATTTTTTCCATCTCACCCTTCCCCAACACATGTTGTATTCACACTAATGTCTATACACAGACAGACACCAGGAGCTCTTAATACTGCTAAAAATATGGTAGCCTTAGGACTATATTTAGGGCCAGATTTTTCTATTTGGCATAGATATTTTAGAGATCGAAGTTTCATACACTCATTTTACAAGGCAGCTTAGAAAAGACCAGAGAAGTTAGGCTATTTCCTAAATGACGAGTGGTGGCTCTTGGTGTTGCTGAGTCTAGAACCCAACTATCAATCCACGTGGCTACTGCACATCCTAACACATCATACTGTATCTAACATGTTAATGTTTTATCAGAGAAACAATATAGGAATGTTTACAGGTGTTTTTACATTTGTTTGCATGGGAAAGCATTGTTGAATATAAGAAGGTTGATTTCGTGTGTATACATTTTATGTAAATGTATTTCCAGAATTTATTTGCATATATATATCATTAATAATATAATTTATATATAAGCACTTGTATTTGTAAACTTATGCATGGAAACTTTATCATACACAATACACATTTATTAATTACTTAGATTATTTTATAACACTAAAAGTATCTTCTGAGATTTTAATATGAGATTTTAATATGTTAGTTTGGTAACTAATAAAATTATATACTGAATTCTAGCACCGAAATTATATGTGTAAACTACTTATATTAGTTACTATTTATAAAATATAGTACTTATGTAATAATTATTGTTAAGCCAAAACATTTGTTTGATGTTTTATGAATTCTTATATTTGACATCAGATAAATATTAATTTATTCACAAGATATATTAAACTCGTAAATGACTGTAAGTGTATTAGGGGAAAGAAAAGGAAGTATTTTAATTAACCAGATATGCTTTTTGTTGTCAATAGGTAGACAGAATAGGTAGAGGAAGTGGATATGTGTAAAACTCTAATATGAGGTGAAATTAGTTAAGAGTGCTAAAACATTTAAAACAAAGTAATAAAATCCAGAGAAGTGATATTCATTCAGATAAGAAAGACCAGATAAGATTTGATAAAAGAAGCAGATATTCGGGCTAGAATAGTATAAATGTGAAAATAAAATTCTAATTTTACTGCTTAAAAATATCTGTTCTTCTTATTAAAAAACCTTCTTTTTCACTCTAGCTTTAGGGTGTTTTACAATATTTAGATTTATATCTAATAACTTAGAATAATTACTTATGGAAGCAACGTGGGAATGAATGCAAAATTGGTTACAATCACTTTTTAAACATATATAATTAAAAGTCAAAAAAATACACTTTATTTACCAAGCATAGAGGAAACTCAATAGAAATCTGCAGGGATTGTCTTTTTGTCGCTCAGTTCTAATCATATTCATATTATAAATTCCTTGTACAAGAACCAAATATAATAAACATGACAATAGTATGGAGCAAATTATAAATATAAAATACTGACCCAAATATGACTGAAGGTTGAGCTTTCTTGAGCTGAGCCTTGTAAAATATATGATTGCCGCTTCCTGCCAGTGTTGTGTACTAAATCTTGCCTTGATTTATGATGTTGGAAACTTATGAAGGCACGCTTTCTAATACATACTCTCGGTCACAGATGAGTAGCTCACTAATGTACTATATTCCTTCATGAACCAATCAATTTAATAACTTTACCAATGCCAGCTTTTGAACAATGCATCCCCTCATTGACATTCCAGTGCAATAGTGAATAACAATTAGATTTCATTGTAGCGCTGTATCTTGCTATTGTCATCCCCATAAGAGATGCTTTCCTTATAGTCCAAAGAATTGACATAAATGTAAATGTTAGGCCAACCTACCAAATAAGTGGTCCAGGGGCCCTCATTACCAGAAATGAACACTTATCTGCCTCATTGTCATATATTGTTTTTCCATATCATTTATTTTCTAGTGTTTGAAAATAATCTGACATTTTTCAGTGTTTGAAACCCTGTTCTGGATTTGACAAAATCATTCATGCTCTGGAGACACATATCTTTCTTCTGTTAATACAGTCCCTTTAAAACCTAAATAACAAGATAGGGTCCTATAAGTACACTGTGAAGATAGAAAACCCAAAGGTGTTCTAAGTTGTACAGCTATTAGAATCTAAAAGGTATTCAAGATGTTGTATTAAAAAAAAAATCTTGAGAGACCAAGGAGGGCAGATCACAGGTCAGGAGATCGAGACCATCCTGCTAACACCGTGAAAACCCATCTGTACTAAAAATACAAAAAAAAAATAAAAAAATTACCGGGGCGTGGTGGCGGGAACCTGTAGTCCCAGCTACTCAGGAGGCTGAGGCAGGAGAATGGCATGAACCCAGGAGGCGGAGCTTGCAGTGAGCCAAGATCGCGCCACTGCACTCCAGTCTGGGGACAGAGCAAGACTCCCTCTCAAAAAAAAAAAAAAAAAAAAAGCAAGGTGTGGTCTCATTATTTTTTACCCACATAGGGTAGTTGTCTTGGCAATTTGACATTAATGACAAAAAAAAGCTTCTAAAGATGATAAAGGAAAACATATCACTGAAATACATTGTCTGAGTTTAGACAAGATAGGCTTGCATTACATTACTATAGTTATAGCTAGTTAGGAAAGATAATCTTAAACACAAGAAGTTATCAAAGTAATTGGCATATAGCTATATGAAAATCATATTATTCAACAGTTTTTTTAAGAATTTTTTTAAGTCACATTAGACTTCAAATTTCTGAAAAGATGATGAACCAACATAGGTTGGTGGCTTTCTACTCTGGATTCTATCTTAAAGGAGATGCCACAGAGAAACAAGGAATTTGATGGGTTCTAGTTACTAAATTAAAACTGTGAAAACCCTTGGAAAGATTATAGAATGCCAGCATGGCAGAAAGAGCTCTAGCAGCTAAGAGTTGAGGCTGGGGAAGAATTCTCACATTGTTTCCTCCCTCCCCATCAGACCCCATTGTACTGGGTGAAGTGATGCCTCTTTCAATCATCAGCACTGAGAGAGACCAAACAGAAGCAACAACAGCAGGGCTAACCCAACCCAAGACAGAGAATTTGGGGTAATAAATGTGAACATTCTCTATGTGATTCCAGACTCAGACCCAGCATTGCAACATCTGGGTCCATGTCAAGTGCAAACCCTTGGGGCCCACCACTCAGGCCCTAATGAATCAAAATCTCTGAGGATGAAGCCAAACAATCTGTGTTTTAATAAGCTAGCCAAGTACTTCTGAAAAACACTCAAGTTTGAGAAGTCTTACAGCCTAGCTAATAATAGCTGGGGTAGAAAGTGGTTAACAATAGGTACTAGTGGCTTCCAGCAATACTCTCTGATATGGTTTGGCTCCGTGTCCCCATCCAAATCTCATCTCGAATTGTAATCCCCATGGGTCAGGGGAGGGACCTGCTGGGAGGTGACTGGATTATGGAGGTGCTTCCCCCATGCTGTTCTCCTAATAATGAATGAGTTCTCAGGAGACTTGATGGTTTAAAAGTGTCTTACTGGGCCAGGCGCGGTGGCTCACACCTGTAATCCCAGCATTTTGGGAGGCCGAGGCGGGTGCATCACAAGGTCAGGAGATGGAGACCATCCTGGGCAACATGGTGAAACCCCGTCTCTACTAAAAATACAAAAATTAGCCGGGTGTGGTGGCACACACCTGTACTTCCAGCTACTCAGTAGGCTGAGGCAGGAGAATCACTTGAACCCGGGAGGCGGAGGTTGAAGTGAGCTGAGATTGTGCCACTGTACTCCAGCCTGGGCGACAGAGCAAGACTCCCTCTCAAAAAAAAAAAACAAAGTGTCTCACTACCCCCTTTGTTGGTTCTCTCTCTTCTGCTGCCTTGTGAAGGAGGTGCTTGCTTCTCCTTTGCTTTTAACCACGAATGTAAGTTTCCTGAAGCCTCCTCGGCCACACAGAACTGTCAGTCAGTTAAACCTCTTTTCTTTCTAAATTACCCAGTCTCAGGTAGTTCTTTATAGCAATGTGAAAACAGACTAATATACTCTCTCCTTCCTCAGAAAGAATGGTGGTACTTGACAAGATAGTAACAAAAAACAAGCAAGATCCCTGAGGAAGAAGGATGGTCAGTGGTATGAGGCAGACAAACAGAAGTGGTTCAGTCTACATTTTGATATTTTAGATTTTTGTTTTGAAATGTTTAATTATTTAAAATTATAAAAAGGGAAAAAAATAAGGTCTGAATTTTTCACATTTTCCCAGATTGAGAGGAGTATAAGTGACTGTGACCTCCCAGAGACAATGAACCATAGGACAACAATTCAAGACAGCTGATGAGCAGGATTTTTAAGACAAACTATATAAGGGTAAAATAAGATGCAGGAAAATATAAAATTTTAAAGAGGAATAATAATTATCTTTGTAGAGATAAGAAATAATATTGGAAATGTCAAGTAAAAATGAGAATTTCTAAAGAAAAAACAAATAGAAACATTGGGTATAAAGCATTAAAAATTAAATTAATTAACTAATTGAAGGATTGAACTGTCAAATGAATTCAACTAAAGAACAAACGAGTGAGCTGAACAATTAAGTCAAAGCACGCTCCCAGAATGCAACTGGAAGGGATAAGGAAATAAAAAGAATAGAAGAAACATAAGGTAAGAGATGTAGAGAATATATATATAGAAATGTCAGTATTGAATTAATAATAGTCCAGGAGGGAAAAATATATAAAGAGAAGAATATTTGAAGGATTAATGACCAATAATTTTTTAAAACTAAAGAGAGCTATAAGATCTTAGATTAAAATGATTCAGAGTATACAGAAACAAAAAGATAAGGTGGGGAGGGGAGACTTATGAACATATCAAATTACATTCAATAACACAAAAAGCCAAAGGAAAATTCAAAAAGCTTCCTGAGGAAAAGAGCTTCACAGTCACAAACAAGAAGTACATGTCCAGGAAAAAAAGCACACTTTGAACTTAAAATGTGTATCTATCAAAATTATTTAAAAACATAAGTATGTTTTTAGAGTTAACTCAGACTCAGAAATGTCATCTAACTAAAGCCCTCTTTGAAAGGCCTTTTATCAGAAATCACTACAGTTAAAAACAAAGAAATATGAGGAATATAAAAAATTATTAACTTTTGAAATTGTAATGTTAACCAAAACAATGACAAGAGATTTTCAACAAATCTTGTTTTGGAATGAGGATGGAGAATAGGTAGTGACCAATATGACGGAACTTATTTTATTTGAGGGAAATAAACTAGTAGTAATAAATATGACTATGCAATTATGACCGACCTGAAACTCAAATTCACATAAAAAAATTGACTCTCAAATAATTTTATAAATGATCAATTAAAAAAAAAACACCAAGAGATTCATCGATGGAAAAAATTGTGTATTAGGCCAATATGGAAAATAATGTTAGATTATTGTGCTTACCAGAAAAAAAAATTAAAATTTGTGTTATCAAAGTGGACATTATATTTTGATAAATAAAGCTAACATAAAGGAACAACAATCACCAATCCAGGTCAGATACGCAGGTTGCTGATTAGCCTCAAAATATATGAAGCAGCAAATGATCAACTAAAAAGGACACAGAACTAAAAAAAAAATTCACTTGAATATTTTGACACAGCTCTCTAGGTTTAAGTGGTTAAACAAACAGATAAAAACCATGCAATACGTTTGAACGTTTAGATGAAATGTTCATATTTCTTGAAAGTACCACTTAACCAAACTGGCATAAGGAGAAATGGAACATGTAAATATTTCTAGATATGTTTATGAAATTTAATGTACATTTAACATTCTTCCCAGAAATAAAACTACAAACTCATGTCTTCGTTGGAAAAATAATCCAAATATTTAAAGGAAGAATAATGCCAATTCTATATAACCCTTACAGCAAAAAAGAAAGAAAGGAACACATCCCAATACATTCTATGAGGCTAGAATAATCCTGATACAAACCTTTGACAAGAACCTTCCGAGAAATAAGAAGAAAATTCCCTATGTTTCATTAAGATAGGAACAAAAAAAATCCTAAATGAAATATAAACAAGAAAAATCTATTGATGTATAAAAAGGATAATAAAACATGGATTTATGCTAGGATTCAAGATTGGTTTTACACAAAAACTCAGAAAACATAATTCACTGCATTAACAGTATAAAAGAGAAACATTACATGAATAGGGGATATTTTTATTTACTTGTTTTTTAGAGACTTTTAAAATATTTTATTTTTAGTTTTAATTGTGGAAGAAAACAGAAAATTTACCATCTTAACTATTTGTTCAGTGTATAAATTAGTAGTGTTACATATTTTCACATTGTAAAACAGGTCTAGAACTTTTCATCTTACAAAACTAAAACTCCATATCCATTAGATCCTCCTTTAAAAAAACTTTTTAAAGAATAGTGTTAAATTTAAAGAAAAATTGTGAAGATACTATATAGAATTCCCATATAGTCCACACCCACTTTCCCCTATCATTAGCATTTAACATTAATATGGTACATTTGCTACAATTAATAATATCAATAGGCTATTGTTTAGCAAAGTCCATACTTTACGCTGATTTTCTTAGTTTTATACCTAAGTTCTTTCTTCTGTACCAAGATCCATTCAGTGTTCAACATTACATTTAGTTGACATGTCTTTTCAGGTTCTTCTTGGCTGACAGTTTTTCAGACGCCTTGTTTTTGATGGCCTTGACAATTTTGAGTGGTACTGGTCAGGTGTTTTGTAGAATGTCATCATCTGGGATTTACCTGATATTTTCTCATGTTTGGACTTGGCTTAGAGTACATGTTATCAATATGACATTACTATTGATTATGATCTTGTTTACCTGGCTAAGTTAATGTTTATGAGGTTTCTCCACTGTGAGGCTACAAATGGTGTTTGTTTTTGTTTTTGCTTTTTGAGACAGAGTTTCCCTCGTGTTGCCCAGGCTGGAGTGCAATGGTGGGATCTCGGCTCACTGTAATCTCTGCCTCCTGGGTTCAAGCGATTCTCCCACCTAAGCCTCCCAAGTAGCTGGGATTACAGGTGTCCGCCGCCATGCCCAGCTAATTTTTTGTATTTTTAGTAGAGATAGGGTTTTGCCATGTTGGCCAGGCTGGTCTCTAACTCCTTACCTCAGGTGATCCACCCGCCTCGGCCTCCCAAAGTGCTGGGATTACAGGATTGAGCCACCATGCCCGGCCGAAGCTACAAATGTTTTAATTTGCAATTTTCCAATAAAATGATGTTGAGAGTCTTCATATGCTTACCTGCCCTCTGTGTACTTTCATTGGTGAGATGTCTGTTCAGATCTTTTGCCCATTTAAAAAAATTGATTGTTTCCTTATTGTTGAATTGTAGGATTTCTTTGTATATTTTGCATACAATCCCTTATCAGATACATACTTTACAAATATTTTCTTCCAGTCTGTAGCTTGTCTAGTCGTTCTCTTAACATTATCTTCCAGAGAGCAGAAGCTTTTACTTTTAATAAAATGCAACGTATCAATTTGTTACAGATTATGCTTTTAGTATTGTATCTAAAATATCACCACCAAACACAAATTTACATAGATTTTCTGCTTCACGCTTTTCTAGGAATTTTTTGGTTTTGCATTTTACGTGTAACCTGTAGGTATACAATTTATTTTGAATTGGTGTCTAGGTGTTTTGTTTTATGCTTTTGTTCTGGTTTTTGCATATGGACACTCAAGTTCTCCAATATCATTTGTTGAAGAGACTAACCTTTTCTCCATTGCAGCAACATCTTTGCTCCTTTTTCAAAGAGCAGTTGATTATACTTGTGTGGATCTATTTCTAAGCTGTTTTGTTCTAGCAACTTATGTCTATTCTTGGGGACATTTTTAAATTCACCTAAGTCATTGCAAAAACTCCTGATTATGAAACTGGATAAGAATATTTAAAAAATCAAGTCTAACAAAAAAAATCCTGTAGCTATTAAACGTCCTTCAACCTCAATATTTATTTTGTAGTGCTGTTTTGAGGACTTAAAAAGATAGTGTATGTAAAATGCCTAATGTAAAAACCTTAGCGCTCATTCAGTGATAGTCATTGTTACGTTATATGGTTCCTATAGAAACAGAAAAGTCTTTAACACTGTCCTAAGGCTCAAGAAAGTTTCCTTTAGTAAAACAAATGATGCCTGATTAAAAGTATGATGACCATATATTTTCAATGTTTGGATAAGAAAAAATATAATTCACAAAACTTATTAAGGGAAGGAATGCCCAAAATGTAGAGGATGGAAAACAAATAACTGATTTAAAGATATGAAAGGTGGATGTTTAACAAACAACTGCATGAATCAAATTCACTAGTATCAGAGAAAAGAAATGCTTATGAAATGCACCATTTTTCTCCTGTAAAATTAGACCAGTTATCCAAAGCTGGTAAAGGTTGAAATGGATTTGGAATCTATATACACTACTGTTGTAATAATGAATCATATTATTAATAGTGTAGGGTCTATAAATGTGAAATATGTCTATAAATTACATTATTTGCAACATCAAGGAAATATCTACTTTAAATGTGCATACCCAGGGAAAGAACATTTTCAGTCTTGGTTCAAGAATATGTTTAATGCACAAATTCAAAGTATCCTACTCCTGAAAAACTATTACACATAAAGAAATTGAACTTTTAAAAAATTACCCTAAGATATTTAACATAGAATTATATTATGATAGCAAAAAAGATAAAAAACCAAGCTAACTAAATTACCACATACTAACACAATGGGACACTGTGCAGCCATAACATCTTATGTTGAAAGTCGGATAATAACAACCTAAGAAAACACGGTGCTATAAAGTTTTATGTAACTGCAGTGAGGCAGTTGTTCATATATTATAGTCTCAACAATTTTTAAAAACAATGAAAAGAAATATGTTAACATCTTAATGATGGTTTTCTTTAGAGTGATGGCTGATTTTTAAAATACTTTTATAACTTCTGTATTTTCTATAATATTTGTGACTTAAATTATAATCAGAAAAACAGTATACCCAAAGGATTATAAATCATTTTACTATAAAGACACGTGCAGGTGTATGCTTATTGCAGCACTATTCACAATAGCAAAGACTTGGAACCAACCCAAATGACCATCAATGATAGACTGGATAAAGAAAATGTGGCACATGGCCGGGTATGGTGGCTCACACCTGTAATCCCAACACTTTGGGAGGCCGAGGCAGGTGGATCATGAGGTCAGGAGTTCAAGACCAGCCTGACCAACATGGTGAAACCCTATCTCTACTAAGAATATAAAAATTAGCTGGGCGTGGTGGCACACACCTGTAATCCCAGCTACTCAGGAGGCTGATGCAGGAGAATCACTTGAACCTGGGAGGCAGAGGTTGTAGTGAGCAGAGATAGCACCATTGCACTCCAGCCTGGGTGACAGAGCAAGATTCCGTCTCAAAGAAAAAAAAACTGTGGCACATATACGACATGGAATACCATGCAGACATAAAAACGGATGAGTTCGTGTCCTTTGCAGGGACATGGATGAAGCTGGAAACCATCATTCTCAGCAAACTAACACAAGAACAGAAAACCAAACACCGCATGTTCTCACCTGTAAGTGAGAGCTGAACAATGAGAACACATGGACACAGGGAGGGGAACATCACACACCTGGGCCTGCTGGGGGGTGGAGGGCTAGAGGAGGGATAGCATTAGGAGAAATATCCAATGTAGGTGATGGGTTGATGGGTGCAGCAAACCACCATGGCACACGTATACCTATGTAAGAAACCTGCATGTTCCGCAGGTGTACTCCAGAACTTAAAGCATAATAAACAAAAGAAAAACAGTTCATTTTTACAAAGAGTGAAAGACAATAATTATTTCACTCTAATTCAGTTATCTTCCTAATTTTTAGAAAACATGACTTACTAAGGTGTTTCTAAGTAATTGCTCATAAAAACTTTGTTCTTTAGCATATATAATTTCTGTTACACTGAGCAAGGTATAATGGTCACTAATATATTTATAGTAAAAGGCAATAATAAGAGCAATGGATGTTGAAGTTGACTGAGGGGCAAGTCAATTAATGTAGGAATGTTTGCAGATAATAATGCATATAGGAACAGATCTTAGAGTAGCTGCACCAGGGATTCCGACTACTGAAACAACAATTTTGAAAAAAAAATGGCTAATCTATGTAATCAAAAGACAGATTGACTTATTCTTCCTGGCCACAATCTTTCAACCATCCTTCCCATGCGGAATGAACCAATTGAATTGGCCAAAATATTTAATGATGGGATACAGATATCAAGATATCATATATATATATATATATATGTGTGTGTGTGTATATATATATATGTGTGTGTATATATATGTATATATATATGTATATATACGTATATATATATGTGTGTGTATATATATATATATATATATATGTATATATATACACATTTTTTTTTTTGAGACAGAATCTCTCCCTGTCACCCAGGCTGGAGTGCAGTGGCACCATCTTGGCTCCCTGCTAGCTCCACCTGCCGGGTTCACGCCATTCTCCTGCTTTAGTCTCCCGAGTAGCTGGGACTATAGGCACCCACCACCGCGCCTGGCTAATTTTTTGTATTTTTAGTAGAGATGGGGTTTTACCGTGTTACCCAGGATGGTCTCGATCTCCTGACCTCATGATCTGACCGCCTCAGCCTCCCAAAATGCTGGGATTACAGGCATGAGCCACCGCACCCGGCCAACATATCATACTTTTTGATCTGACAAAATGTTCAGAACAGAGGTCATATGAGCTACATTTATCATAGTCTCCATATTGATTTCATGTTTTTCCCAAAGCCTTTCTGAATACATAGTTCTGAAATTTTACCACGTCCTCATGTTTCTCAGCACCCCTATAGAGATCATCACAGGTGTGACAGAATGAATACAAGCCTCATAATAGCAACTAGGAATGTGCCTTTTTGATTGCTTGTCAACACTGAGTCTATTACCTGGTATAGATGGTAAGTGAATGGCAGCTAATTGTTTTCTGCTAAGAGCATATTTTCATGACATTGAATTAATCTCAACAATTTAACATCTGTTGCAATACGGCAACTTTCAGGATCACTGAACTATATTATTCCTGCATATAAAAATTTAAAATGAACTGGAGATCATTAAATCCTCCAGATATTTTAAATAATATTATTATGCTTATTAGCAATGTATCCCCAATAGTGTAATACCTAGAAAATAATCTTTCACTTAACTTGTAATATCCAAGGAATAACTAATTTCCTGGGAACATCTGGATCATTTATGGAATAAAGAGTGATTGTTCATGGAGAAGCTCCTCTGGGTAACTGTTTGATCTTTAGATTTTAGAACTGAATGGTATCCAATTGAGAAGAAGAAAACAGGAACTGAGTCCCTAAATGAAATCCAAGCCTTTCAGCAAATACCCTGGGAGTGAACATTTGACAACAAGATTGGTACCTAAGACACATGTCACTCAGAGATTTGAATAGTGTCTATGCATTATTTTGATGCCATGCATATCACAGGCATCATTACATGTTTAAGCAAAGCAACTTCAAATTAAGAAAAAAGAACAAATTCTTTCGATTCTCATTTAGCACTTTTACAATTAAACCTTCTCAAGTGGTCGATAAAACAAGTTCTAAGAAAAAAGTATTCGGTAATGTGATTTAGCATTGAGAGTGTGTGGCCTTCCCTGGGTATTACAGCTAGATTGTTAAGCTGACAATAGTCCCATTGTAAAATACAAGAAATGGTCACATGAATAAGGATGTAAGAGTCTAGGGAATGTAATTAGTGACTTAGGAGATATATTCAAGAAAAAATTACAGCTTTTAATCTTTTTAAGAGGCCAGAGAGTAGAATTCACAGGCAGGATAAAATGTGTGCAGCACAGGAGTAAACACAAGTCATAGTAATGCACAATTCTGTTAACATAATGGCTTTGCTTTCTCGGCAGTACAGTTTATCATTTAATGCTATATTATCAAAGCCTGACGTTTTCATTTCTTTTCCACCTAAGTGATATTCTCTCAACACAAGGTAAAGACAAAGTTTCATATCTTGATCTGGGGTTTGCTATGCTGTGTATTGGCTGAAGAAATGCAAACCCGCAAGAATCTTATTAAAACACCATTTTTTTTTTTTTTTTGCTGAGTGGTCTCTGGTGTAGATTCTGTTATTTAGATGTAAACTGATTGTCACAACACTAACTACTCTAGCTCCAGAAATTTATATTTCAGGTCAGTCTGTTTTTAGAAGTCTGCTGCTGTCAAATCTGGTATCTTTCTCTCTCTCTGATCCCTAGAGCAGATACACTCTGTTTGCTCTTATAATAAAACATGTGTCTGGCCTCTAACTGATTACTGTAGCAATCGGAACATAACAAGATAGTCAGACCATCCAAAGTGTTGTGTGTCAAAGAGCAGTGTAAGCTTCTTGGTGTAATAGAGCAATTTCTGAGAGTTTCACAGTGTTACAGTTATAGGCTTGATCCAGGAAGGAAAAAATTCGATTGTGCATTAACCTTCGATTATCAATGCTTTTGAAAGGAGAGCAGTTCAGAAATAATTGTTACACACACGTTATGAATGTTTACCCAACTGCTAGGGATTAAAATACAGACTTAAAGAAGTTGGCAGAATACATAAACAAGGTAGATAAGCACACACTGCAAGAGACCAGAGAAGAGTCTCTTACTATGGATAGCAATTAGATTATTATAGGCCTGTATTTCATGATCCACTGTAGACTAACAGGCTTCAATTGTGCAATAAATGTGTTCTAGAAAATTTTGGTATGGATTATATTTTTATATAAGATATACAAACTGAAATCAAATATTTATTTCACTAAAACATATTTGGTATGAGCCATAGCTGTAAATAAAAGTATTTTGTAAAGTCCACAGCCACCCTCTAAGCAGACAGGGTGAGAAATGAATGAAATCACAGAAATTATCCAAAGACATGTGAACACAAGTTCTAAGGTGTTTATACAACATGAATGGACAAAAGTGAAGTAAGTTTCTTAAAAATTAAGAGGAGAATTTCAGTTAAATATTGGTGATATCAATTAAAATTGACAGATTTTAACTATATCTTGGGTTTTTCTTTCATTATCTTTAAGTCATATCTTAAGTTTGACACAAAATTGCTTAAATTTATTATAAAAGCAAAAGTAGGTAGGTTTTGTGCATCCCGATAGTCATATCTATTAAGGTAGTCACAATAATTTAAACAATGTGAAACAGGTGTCAGGATAAGACAGGTCAATAAAACAAGATAGTAAATGGAGGAAAAAAGAATTTAAAAAATTTAGTATATAATAAAGGCAGTACACAACTTAGCGAAATAGTTGAAATTATTTTGTAAATAGCACTGAGGGAAATGAATATTTCTAAAAATGAACAAGAGGATGCCTAACCACCCCCCCCTTTCAACACCTGCTCTTCCTCCTCCTCCTCAGCCCACTCATCATGAAGATGATGAGGATGAAGATCTTAATGATGTTCCACTTCCACTTAATGACTAGTAAGAATATTTTCTTCTTCTTATAACTGTCTTAATAATGTTTTCTTTTCTCTAGCTTTTTTTCTAAGAATATAGTATACAGTAGACATTTATCTATTGCAATACATTCTAGAATAATTAAAAGCACACACATATGTATTTCTGTATACACACTCATAAGTATGGGAAATATACATATGAAGTGACAGGAAAGTTAGAAAGTAAATGAATTAATAAATATCTGAATTTGGATTAAGAAAAGCAAATATAATATCAAAAGCTAGAAATCTCTCCCCAAGGACTAATAACTTTGATTAAAGTTTAAAAAATAACAAAAGATTTAAAAGTGGGAGGATGATGATGAGAGCAAAAAAGGGATAAGAAGCTTACTATTACTTACTAAGTAAGGATTTCCTACAAATTAATGAGGCAAAAAGTCTCCTCTGACCAAAAAAAAAAAAAAAAAAGGGACAAAGTGTAAATGGGCAATTTGCAAAAGGAAGAATTAGACAAATGCCTAAGGAAAAATGTCACTTCTTAGTCATACAAATTAAATAAATTAAGTACAACTCCTTCACTTGGAAAATTAGCCAATTAAAATATATTTGTAATAAATTGTGTTCATTACAGCAATGGAAAAAGATATCTCCATGAATTTTTGCTAAGCTGCTACTATATATCTGAAGAGAAAATAAAAATTATTTGATCATCTATTAACTCAGTAATCCACTTCTGGTTACTTGACAAAGAGTTGTATGTTTTATTATATTTATCTTCTTCAATAATGCTGGAAAATGACCAGTGGCGTATATAAAACCCTATGTACCAATATTTATGGTGGCATTAATTATAATGGAAAAACCTACAGAAATAGGTTTTAGCTAAACAATTTTTATACCCATTTAATAATGGATATTCCTTAATATCATATTTTAGAAAAAAGTAACATGTAAAATACATATTCTATATTAGTAGAAAGAGGTATGTTAAAATAGTACACAAAAATAAAACCAATTTTGTTACAAACCGACAGTTGGGAGATGTGTATATAGTCTGTGGATAAAATGGTTAGGATGAAATAGATTACAGTGCTCATGGGGAATGCTGACTTAATGAGTGACTTTATTTACTTTCCTATACTTTTCAGTTTTCCAATTTGTCTGAAATGTGTATATGTTACTTACAAGAAATGAATTGGCAGTTGGTGAGTATTCTTTTAATTTAAGGTTCTCCCACATCTTCTATGGAGGAAATATACATGAAGAGACTTTGTACTAAACTCCCTGTTTTCACTGACTGTTCAGCAATCTTGCTCATAAGTTACACTATGCAGTGGTTCTTAACTTAGTTGCCCATTCGGAACAAAGACGGCTTTTAGAAAATATGGCAGAGGTCTCCCATCCAAGTACTAGCCAGGCCCGACCTTGCTTAGCTTCCGAGATCAGAAGAGATTGGGCACGTTCAGAGTAGTGTGGCCATAAAAGGTGAACCAGCCCAGATCTTCCTGGAGTCAGGTTGCTTGGGAATGCAGCCCAGTGCAGTTAATTGGTGGTAAACTCCAATTAAAGCTAAAGACCGGCACAAGACCAATAGTCAACCAGTGCCACAAGAGAAAGTTGGAAAGAACTTTGAAGAGAGAGTTCAAGAGGGCGTGAAACCTTAAGGGTAAACAGGTGGGATCTGTGCAGCCTTCCAGAGGATTGAACTGGGCAGCGAGTCTGGCCCTGATGACAGTCCTGCAGATCTTTCCTGCTCCTTCACATCCCCCACTTTCTGAACTCAGAAATAAAGCCGAATACTTACAGGCAACTTTTTTTTCAACAAAGCAAACAAAACAAAGTGTGGAAAGGACACCATATTCAATAAATAGTGCTGAGATGATTGGCAAGTCACATGTAGGAGAACGAAACTGGATCCTCATCTCTCACCTTATACAAAAATCAACTCAAGTTGGATTAGACCTAAATCTAAGACCTGAAACCATAAAGATCCTAGAAGATAACTTCAGAAAACCCTTCTAGACATTGGCTTAGGCAAAGACTTCATGACCAGGAACCCAAAAGCCAATGCAACAAAACCAAAGATAAATAGATGGAACTTAAACTAAAAAGCTTCTGCACAGCAAAAGAAATAATCAGTAGAGTTCACAGACAACCCACAGAGTGAGAAAAAAATCTTCACAATCTATACATCCGACAAAGGACTAATATCCAGAATCTACAAAGAACTCAAACAAATCAGCAAGAAGAAAACCAGACAGTCCCACCAAAGAGTGGGCTAAGGACATGAATAGACAATTCTTTAAAGAAGATATACAAATGGTCAACAAGCATATGTAAAAATGCTCAGTATTACTAATGATCAGGAAAATGCAAATCAAAATCACAATGTGATAACACCTCACTCCTACAAGAATGGCCATAATCAAAAAATCAAAAAATAATAGATGTTGGCATGGATGCAGTAAAAAGTTAATACCTCTACACTGTAATAGTGTATAGTGAATAGTACAACTACAGTGAAAAAAGGTGTGGAGATTCCTTAAAGAAACAAAAGTAGATCCACCGTCTGATCCAGCAATCCCATGTCAAAGTTTCTACCCAGAGGAAGGAGGTCATTATATTAAAAAGATACTTGCACATGCATGTTTATAGCAACACAATTTGCAATTGTAAAAATGTGGAACCAGCCCAAATGCCCATCAATCAACTAGTGGATAAAAAAATATATATGTTTATGTATATATATGTGCGTATATATGTGTATATATACGCACATATATATGTATATATGTGTATATGTGTATATATGTGTATATATATACACACACACATATATATATACACTATCGAACACTACTTAGCCATAAAAAGGAACAAAATAATGGCATTCACAGCAACTGGATGGAATTGGAGACTATTATTCTAAGCGAAGCAACTCAGGAATGGAAAACCAAACATTGTACATTCTCACTCTTAAAGTGCGAGCTAAGCTATGAGGAAGCAAAGGCATAAAATGAGACAATGGACTTCGGGGACTTGGGGAAAGGGTGGGAAGCAGGTGAGGGATAAAAGACTACATGTTGGGTACAGTATACACTGCTTGGGTGATGGGTGCACCAAAATTTCAGAAATCACCGCTAAAGAACTTATTCATGTAACCAAACACTACCTGTTCCCCCAAAACCTATTGAAATAAAAAATAAATTAAAACAAATAAATAAATAAATGTCACAGAAAGATGTAAAAATAGAAAAGAAAATATGCCAGGAAAACCTCACCTTTGGAGATTTTGAGTTAATTATTCTAGGATACTGATTTAAAAAAAAAAAAACCTTCAGTTTTTTAGTTTAATGTGCAGCCAGAAGGTTCCCAAACTTGCTTCTTCGTAAGATTGTCTGGAGGCACTTGTTTAAAAGATAGATCCTCAGGCCATGTTATCTCAAAATTCTGAGATTACCTGGAAATTCTGAGATAGTTGGTCTTGGGTTGGGACCTGAACACACACACACACTTGAGCAAATAACCGAAAGGATCATTTCTGATCAAGACTGCATTTGAGAATGACTGAATTAGCCTATTTTTTAAAAGGCAGCCACCAAATTGCACTCATAGTTCCTATGAGAAAATGATTCACCTTTAAATGACACTACCATGGAAACACAATTTTATGAAGGGACAGCAAATCTTATCCATAATTCTGATAGATGAAAATTGCAAAGGGACAATACTACTTACACATAACATGGCTCAATAAAAATTCAATACTGAATGTGTACATTTAAATGCCTAATGGGCACATTAGGTCCTACAGAAAATTAGAAAGAGTTCCGACTTTGGACTAAAGTGGAGGTAAGAGGCTTCAGTAAAAATAAGGGCTGAAATGATCCTTATAGAATGGATAAGGTGAATGGGGCTTACAGGCATTGAGAGGAGGTTTGCTTTCAACAGAAGGGAAACGATGACGAAGGGGCAAGTATCTCATAGATCAAGATCGCAGGGAGAGATTAGAGTAGAAGACCGGGTTGTAATTAAATGTAGAGGAATGAAAATGGGAAGCAGCGGGGTTGTCCTGACAGGGGAATGAATGACATGGTTACATGAGTATAGTTTTAAATCTCTATCAGTTAAGTACATGGAGTAGATTTACCTCATTCACGAGTGAATCTCTAAAACCTGCACAGTGATTGGCATTCATTAAAGGCTCAGTAAATATCTTTTCCATGAATGAGAAAATATGATTATGATGATGATGTAATAATTTGCCAATTACTTAGGACTGATTAAAAACACATTTAAATATTATTTTATAAGGGCACAGAGAAAAGATATTTGCAATATAAAAATGAACGCTATGATACTACTTTCTATTCTAGCCTAGCCCCATTATTTCACTTACCTCCTCCCCTCAACCCTGTGGTTCCTAGCCTCTGCTACTGAAGGTCCTCCATGATCACCTCCTATATGCCATCTTGTATATATGGCATCATCCAGCATCAGTCTTGGTTCCTGGAGAGCGGGTTGCCCTTTGTAGTCTAAACCGAATTAATACACACATACACACACACACACACGCACACAGAGTTGACCCATGAATGACACAGATTTCAACTACAGGGGTCCACTTATTTGTAGATTTTACTCTGCCTCTGCCATCCTTGAGACAGCAAGACCAACCCCTCCTCTCCTCCTTCTCAGCCCACTCAACATGAAGATGATGAGGATGAAGACCTTTATGATGTTTCACTCCCACTTAATGTGTAGTAAGAATATTTTCTCTTTCTTATAATTTTCTTAGTAATATTTTCTTTTCTCTTCTCTCTAGCTTACTTTTTTGTAAGAATATAGTATACAATAAGTGTAACCCACAATACACGTGTCAATTAACTGTTTATGTTATTGGTAAGGCTTCCAGTCAAAGGAGGCTATTAGTAGTTAAGTTTTTGGGGAGTCAAAAGTTATACTTGGATTTTTACCTCAGAGATGAGCCTGAACTTCACATCCTTAACCCTTTCTTTGTTCAAGGGTCAACTGAAGAATAAAGAAGAAAAGAGTCACTGATTTATTTCTTTGTAGTGGACTCAAGGAAGACCCAGTGTAGTGCAAGAGGTTTCACAGCTGTTACCACATCCCTACATTTTAATGGTGAACTTGAAAAAATAATAGCATTAGTAGGCAGAACGTCTAAGTTTTCTGTTTCAGAATAATAGCAGCTTGTTCAAAATAGAAGGAAAGTGAGAGCAGTTCAGTGTTACATTTCCTTCCTTCCTCTAGATCAGCAATTCTCAGTGTGTGTTCAGCAATGTCTCAATGTGTGGTGACTAACGACACCAGCATGACCTGAGAATTATTGCGGTGAAAATTCTTAGGCCCCTCTCTGGATCTACTGAATCAGAAATTCTGTGGGTAGGGCCCGACAACCTTTGTAAACAGTCCCCAAGGCAATTCTGATGGATGACCAAGTAAGAGAACCTCTCTTCCAAATGTTTGGCTATTCTTCTAGTTATTTTTATCATATAGCTCTCACCCTTTGATACTTTTTATTGTTGCTGTTGCTTTTCTGCCTTCACATTTCTCTTTCTTCTACTCTTGCAAATTTAGTCAATCAACTGCAATAGTTGGTTGTATCATGGGCTTTCAGAGGACCAGTAGTGAATGTTAAGCCCTGTTTGACTTTCTTTTGCCTGCTGAAATATTTTGAATTTTGCATTCAGCTTCTAATGCAGTTTAGAATCTCAGTGTCTTCCACTAAACTACTGGCTAGGACAGTTCTACTTTTTACCCCGTTTATGAACTGGTGATGGCTCATGTAGCTGCTGAGGTGTTGAAGAGGGTGAGAAAGGATGTTTCAGATTGTGTCATGCATATCTTGGCTGATGTTGCCTGGTTGCAAAAGAGGTACCCAGGCAGCACCAATGCCTTAAGAAAATGATGAAGGCAAGTGGTCAAAATCCTACTGGATCTATCATAATTCTAACTAGTTATTTATGTAATCTCTTTTAATGTCTTTCTTCTTTGAATATAAGCTCCCTAAGAGCAACACCATTTTATTTTATCACTGAATCTCACATGGCTAACATAGTGCTTTGTTCATAGTGTAAGTTTTTTTTAAAAAAAGAGGATGAATAAATGAGACTATGTCTATTACATAGAACTTCAAGAAGTAGGTGTGTTGGAGTCAGTAAGATAGTTCATAACTATTCTGCTCTTTCTCCCTCTATGAAGGATGTACTGCTTTTCCCACTTAAAGATAGATAAGGCCACACAAATGATTGCCCCGGGTTAGGTGATGGAAGCTTAAAGTAGTAAGTAGTAGGAGTGAGGCATACTTTTTTATTCTTTTAGGCACTGAGATTTGTTTCATTAGTTATTTTTTCTTTTCTCTTTTTGAGGTATAACATATATAAGGTGTATTAATCTTAAATGAACACATGTATAAATGTATACATCTAAATACACCAGTATAACCATAACCAGGTGAAGATGTACAACATTTCCAGCACCTCGGAAGATTTCATTTCTCTTCCCAGTCAATACAGCCACCCATCCCAACCCCAGTTACACTATTCTGATTTCTATTAAAATAGATTAGATTCACCTGATCTGGGAACTGTATATAAATAAAATCACATAGAACATACATATTCTTTTGTGTCGTGTTTCTTTTACTCAAAATATTGTCTGTAAATTTTCACCCAGATTGTTTCACATATAAAAAATTTGTTCTTTTTAGGGTTGTGCCATGTTCTAAGTACCACAATTTATTTATTCTCCTGTTGATGTATATTTGGGTTATTTCAGCCATGGGCCATGATGTATATAAAGCTGTTATGAAAACTCCATTCATATATTTTAGTGAATAATGCACTCATTTCTCTTGGTATATACTTAGTCATGAAATTGTTGGGCTACAGGACAGAAAAATGTTTAGCTTTTAGATGTTCTGCAAATGTGTGCAGTAGTTTTCAAACTTTAGTCTATCAGAGTCACCTGGAGGGCTTGATAAAACAAATTGCCTGGCTCTATAGCCATAGTTTCTAATTCAGTAGGTCTAAAATTGCATTTCCGATGTTTCTAGGACACACAGATGCTGCTTTTCTGGGGACGACACTTAATGAACAACAAATTGTTTAATAGAATTTGCCAGCAAGATTCTAAAACTAAATATTACTTTGGCTTAAACTAGCCTATCCTGATGAACTCTAAGGTTGTCAGATTTAGCGAACAGAAAGGCAATGTCCCTGTTAAATTTGGATTTCAAAAGCAATGAATAAATTTTTGTATAATTATGTCCCATGCAACAATTGGAGTACACTTATGTGAAAAAGTTATTTGTTCTTTATTTGAACTTTAAATTTAACTGGACCTCCAACATTTTACTGGGCAACCTTAACTGATGCAGCTATTACTCCTTTTTTTCACAGAAGATCCTGACATGCAGCTTGGTTAACTTACTGTCAAAGGACAGGCAGTTAGTAAATGGCAGCAGATTTCTAATGTTGGTCTATACTCCTAAGTCCCCTGATTATTCTACTCCAATCATACACACTCTTTGCCACCCAGTTACCCAGTGCTATAGTTTGGATGTTTGTCTCCGTAAATCTCATGTTGAAATTTGATCCTGATGTTGGAGGTGGGGCCAAATGGGAGGTGTTTCAGTCATTGGGGCGGACACCCCAGGAATGACTTGGCCTGGCTCAGTGCAGTCCTCATGGTAATGAGTTCTCCCTCTATTAGTGCCCATGAGAACTGGTTGTTAGAAAGAGCAAGGCATGGCCTCACTGCATCTTACTTTCTCTCTCAGTGTGTGATCTCTGCCCATGTTGGCTTCCCTTCACTTTCTGCCATGAGTGGAAGCAGCCTGAGGCCCTCCCCAGATGCAGATGCTAGTGCTGTGCTTCTTGCACAATCAGTGGAACAATGTACCATACAAAACCCCTTTCCTTATAAATTTCCCAGCTTCAGGTATTCCTTTATAACAACACAAACAAGCAAAGACAGAAAATTGGTACCAAGGAATGAGATGTTGCTATAAAGATACCTAAAAATGTGGAAGTGGTTTTGGAACGGGTTGATGGGCAGAGGCTGTAAGATTTTGGAGGACTCAGAAAACACAATAAGGCAAGAGAAAGTTGGAAACTTCTTAGAGATTCATTAAGTGGTTGGTATAGTTTGGAGATTTCACCTCTCCAAACCTCATGTTGACATTTGGTCCCCATTGTTGGAGGTGGAGCATTTTGGCAAGTGTTTGAGACATGGGGGTAAATCCTTTATGAACTGCTTGCTGCCATTCTTGCAGTAGTTAATAAGTTCTCACTCTATTAGTTCCCATGAGGGCCAGTTGTGGAAAAGGGCCTGGCATCTCCATGCTTTTATTCTTCCTCTCTCACCATGTGATCTCCGCAAACAACAGCTCCATTTCATCTTCCACTGTGATTGAAGACAGCCTGAGGCCCTCGTCAGAAGCAGATTCCACTGCCATGCTTCTTGTACAGCCTACAAAACTATAAGCTAAATAAACTTTAAAAAATTTATTACCCAGCCTCAGGTATTCCTTTATAGAAACACAAATGAACTAAGACAATGGTTGTGATGAAAATTCTGATAGAAATATAGACAGTAAAAGTTATGCTGATGGCACCTCAGATGGAAATGAGGAACTTACTGGAAAGTAAAGCAAAGGTCATCCTTATTAGCCTTAGCAAAGAACTTTCCTGCATTGCATTTATGCCCTTGGGATTAATGAAAGGACAAATTTAAGAATGCTGTTCTAAGGTATCTGAGAGAATAAATTTCTAAGGTGCAAAGCCTTCAAGAAGTGACATGGCTGCTTTCAATTGCTTACAACCTGATTTGGTAGCGAGGAAATGACCTAAAGATGGAATTTATAATTAAAAAGGAAGCAGAGAGTAAATATTTAGAAAATTTTCAGCCTGGCTATGCGGTAGAGAAGAATATTTTAAGGAGAGAAATCCAAGGGTACTGCAGTAAAACCACTTGCTAAGAGATGAACGTGACTAAAGGGAGTCAGGTGCTAATAGTCAAACAATAGAAAAAAAGGTCAAAAAGGCTTTTCAGAAATCTTTGAGGCTGCCCCCACATCACAAGCCCAGAGGCTTAGGAGGACAGAATAGATTCTGGGGACATGTTTGGGGTTCCAATTTCCTGTGCCTCCCTGGGATACTGCTCCCTGCTGCAGGAAGTCAGGGACCCTGAACGGAGGGACTGGCTGAAGCCGTGGCAGAAGAACATAAATTGTGAAGATTTCATGGACATTTATTAGTTCCCCAAATTAATATTTTTATAATTTCTTATGCCTGTCGTTACTGCAGTCTCTGAACATAAATTGTGAAGATTTCATGGACATTTATCACTTCCTCAATCAATACTCTTATAATTTCCTATGGCTGTCTTTACTTTAATCTCTTAATCCCATCATCTTCGTAAGCTGAAGATGTATGTCGCCTCAGGACCCTGTGATGATTGCGTTAACTGCACAAATTGTTTGTAAAACATGTGTGAACAATATGAAATCTGGGCATCCTAAAAAAGAACAGGATAACAGCGATTTTCAGGGAACAAGGGAGATAACCATAAGGTCTGACTGCCTATGGGGCCAGGCAGAACAGAGTCACATTTCTCTTCTTGCAGAAACCAAATAGGAGAAATATCTCTGAATTCTTTTCCCAGTAAGGAATAACCCTAGGAAAGAATGCATTCCCAGGGGGAGGCCTCTAAATGGACACTCTGGGAGTGTCTGTCTTATGCGGTTGAAGACAAGGGATGAAATAAGCCCTGGTCTGCTGCAATGCCCTCAGGCTTGCTAGGATTAGGAAATTCCAGCCTGGCGAATTCTAGTCAGGCTGGTCATCTGCTCTTGAACCCCGTTTCCTGTTAAGATGTTTATCAATGATAATGCGTGCGCAGCAGGACGTGGAACCTCATCAGTAATTCTAATTTCGCCCTGGCCTTGTGATCTTGCTCTGCCTCTCTGCCCTTGTGATCTTGTATTGTCCGTTCAAGCATGGGATCTTTGTGACTTACTCCCTGTTTGTACCTACCTCCCCTTTTGAAATCCCTAATAAAAACTTGCTGGTTTTGTGGCTCAGGGGGCATCACAGAACCTACCAATAGGTGATGTTACCCCTGGAGGCCCAGCTGTAAAATTTCTCTCTTTTGTACTCTTTCTCTTTATTTCTCAGACCAGCTGACACTTAGGGAAAATAGAAAAGAACCTACGTTGAAATATTGGGGGCTGGTTCCCCCGATAGCTCCTGTTGTTCCAGCTCCAGATGTAGCTCAAAGAGCCCCAGGCATGGCTTAGGCTGCCACTCTGGGGTGTGTAAGCAGGAAGCCTTGGAAGCATACACCTCGTGCTATGTCTGTAGATGTCCAGAATGCAAGAGTGGTGAAAGCTTGGAGGCTTCCACATAGATTTCAGAAGATGTATGGGAATGTGTGGTGCCCAGGCAAAAGCCTGCTGCAGAAGCATAGCCACCACTGAGAGCCTGTACTAGGACCACATCTAGTATAGCTGCAGGAAGAGAACCATCACCTTCCAGACCCCAGAATAGTAGAGCTACTGGCACCGTGTACCCTCAGGCTGGAAAAGCCACAGGCATTCTACTCCAACCCATGACAGCAGCCAGCCAGGGGGATTGCACCCAGCAAAGCCATGGGGTCAGGGCTGCCCTAAGCCTTGGGAGCCCACCTCTTCTTCCAGTGTGTCAGGATGTGGGACATGTAGTCAATGTAGATTATTCTGGAGATTCAAGATTTAATGTCAGCCCTACTGATTTTCAGACTTGTGTGGGGCCTGTTATCCCTTTCTTTTGGCTCATCTCTCCCTCTTGGAATGAGAATCTTTACCTAATGCCTGTACAATAATTGTATTTTGAAAGCAAATAACTTATTTTTGATTTTACAGCTCACAGCTCTAAGGAACTTGTCTTGAGTCTCAGGTGAGACTTTGGAACGTGAGCTTTTGAGTTGATGCTGGAACAAGTTAAGACTTTGGAGGCCTATTGGAGAGGGATGATTTTATCTTGCAAAGTGAGAAGGACATTTGGAAGGCCAGGGGCAAAATGCTGTAGTTTGGATGTTTGTCTCCCCAAACCTCATAAGTTGGAGATTGGAGGTGGGGCCTCATGGGAGGTGTTTGGGTCATGGAGGTGGATCCTATGTGAATACCTTAATGCCTTCCCTGGTGGGGAGGGTTGGTGAAATCTCACTCTTATTAGTTCCCACAAGAGTTGGTTGATAAAAAGAGCCTAGAACCTCCCCCTACTCCCCCTACTTGCCTTGTGATCTCTGCACATACTGGCTCCCCTTTGCCTTCTGCCACAAGTTGAAGCAGCCTGAAGCCCTCACCAGCAGCTGAGCATATGGATGCCAGTGTCATGCGTCTTGTACAGCCTGCAGAACCATTAGCCAAATAAACCTCTTTTCTTTATAAATTACCCAACTTCAGATACTCCTTTATTGCAACACAAAATGGACTAAGATACTGTGAAAGGAAAATGTCTTGGGCCCTTTCAAGCTGGGAACTTCTCAGGGCAAATCTGCCTCCCATTCTATTCAAAGTCATCCTGCTGCTCACAGAGATGGATGCATATTCCGATTGCCCTCTTTGGAAAGACTTATGAGAAACACAAAGGAATGCAACCATTTGTGTCTCATCCACCTGTGACATAGAAGTCCCTCAGGGTGGGGAGGGAGGCTTGCTTTGAGTTGTCTCTGCCTTTCTGGATGAATTAATGTACTTCTTACATATATTGATTGATGTCTCATGTCTCTCTAAAATGTGTAAGACCAAGCTATGCCCTGACAACCTTGGGCAGATGTCATGGACATGTCCTCAACCTTGGCAAAAAAAAAAACCTTTCTAAATTAACTGAGACCTGCCTCAGATTACCTGGGTTCACAATACCTAGTCTTGATTAAGAGACAGCTCTGGTTTCCAGGGCTGCTAATCCAGCATGAGATACAGTGTTGCATCCATGTACTCCCATATTAGCCTGGAATGCTGCTTAAAAATGTATCTTCCCCTGGCCAGGTGCGGTGGCTCACGCCTGTAATCCCAGCACTTTTGGAGGCTGAGGTGGGTGGATCATGAGGTCAGGAGCTCGAGACCATTCTGGCTAACACAGTGAAACCCCATCTCTACTAAAAATACAAAAAATTAGCTGGGCGTGGTGGGGGCCCGAGTAGTCCCAGCTACTCGGGAGGCTGAGGCAGAAGAATGGCGTGAACCTGGGAGGCAGAGCTTGCAGAGAGCCGAGATCGCACCACTGCTCTCCAGCCTGGGGGACATAGCGAGACTCTGTCTCAAAAAAAAAAAAAAAAAATTGTATCTTCCCCCAAGCTCAAAAGGGAAATCATTTTATGACTTGGTGCCACTTTAAGCTGCCACCTGCCTCTGCAGCTAGAGGCAGTTGCCTTTTAGATTTGACCTGGCTGTTCAAGGGTTTGCCTATCTCCTCCAGGGGTGTGATTCCATATTAAGTAGCTTGCTAGAGGGTCCAGGCAGGAGAACACATGGACCCTTCTCTCCCAGAGGGGGAAAGTACCTGTCACTTCTACAGATCACTCTTTTGTAGTATGGGAACACAGCAGGCAGTTAGTATTTTCCTGAGGCTTGTCTCCACTACGGAAATTCAGGGTCAGGTCAAGTAAATGAGCTCAGTCCTGGCGGAGGCCTCTTGCTCCAAGGAAGGGCTTTTGTGATCTGATCCAGCTTCTGACAAACATCAGGAGTCATTCCAGCGATGTGACTTTTAAGGACTGGAACATAAGCACTCTAGCCCCCAAATGATCTGTCTTCCTAGTAGGTGAAACTCTATTATTGTCAATTCATTCTTAGATTTTAAGAATAGCTCGCAGTGGTGAATACCTTTGGAAATTCAGGCCCGTTATCTGGACCAAGTATCATATGCCACCATCAATAACACCAAGTGAAGAAGTTACCTTAAATTCCGTCTTCTTTGCAGAAGAGTCCCTTAAATGGTATAAAGGCACTTGGGAGGAAAAATAAAAAAAATGGGCAACAAATTCAAGCATCACATCTGAGAAGTTATTCCTGAGCTTTCTGCCTCCAGAGGCTGAATTGGACCTCTCTCCAGTCTGTGTATATCTCTATTATACCACACACGTTACAATGTTGCAATTGTCTATTTCAATGCCAGACTTCCCATCAAGCCATGTGCATTGGGGATCAGAGACTTGTTAATCTCTGTACCTGGGACATGAATACCGTGCTTAGTATGTACTAGACACTCAGGAAAGCTTGTCAGACTGTCTGCTTGAATAATTGCCAAGGATAGGCTTCTTTCCTTTTACCGTTTGGCCTAAGACTAGCCTGTGGATGATTTTAGCGGCACATGTGAGGACAGCCTTCTTCCAAACAGATATTTAGTATTTGTAACAGGGTCTACAGTCCATATCCCTGCACGTACACATTCACACACAGCTACAGGGCTCTCGGGGAGATAGTCTCTGGGTTTTCATTCCCTTTGCCTGGACCAGAGATGTGATTCCAAGTTGACTTTGTAAGCCTGCCATTTCATAGCTGGTTTAAAATGTTGCATGTTGGATGCTACTAGAAGTGTTTTTCTCCAAAATATTGTGAAACTTCTTGGTTCACTTAGGTAATCAAACCCCATACAGAAAGTGCGAGATAAGCAATTCCCACGCAGCTGCTGAGAAGGAAACAGATCTGACCTTTAAGTCTGAACACATGCAAAAAATGTCAGTCATCTCGATAAACACAGCCTGATTGCAAAGTGAATGTTTCTCCCCTTCTGAAGGAGGGAATGAACTCTTTGCTCCCTTCTGCCTTCCACAACTTTGGTATTTAAAGTTTAAAGTTTGGTTCCTGACCAACAGCATCATCATTACCTGCAGCTTGTTAAAAATGTAGGCTTTTGAAGACCCCATTCCATACCTGCTTAATCACTACCTGACTGATTTTTTTTTTTTTTTTTTTTTTGAGACAGAGTCTTGCTCTGTTGCCCAGGCTGGAGTGCAGTGGCATGATCTCGGCTCACTGCAGCCTCTGCCTCCTAGGTTGAAGTGATTCTTCTGCCTCAGCCTGCCGAGTAGCTGGCACTACAGGCACCCGCCACTATGCCCAGATAATTTTTTGTATTTTTAGTAGAGACGGGGTTTCACCGTGTTAGCCAGGCTGGTCTCAAACTCCTGACCTCGTGATTAGCCCCCCTCGGCCTCCCAAAGTGCTGGGATTACTGGCGTGAGCCACCGTGCCCAGCCAACCTATGTTTTTAACAGGTAATCTGTATACATATGAAAGTATAAAAGCACTGCTCTTTTGAATCATATGATTACAATTAGTTTTACTCCTGTAAATGCTGTGAGTTTTTTTGTTTTTGTTTTTGTTTTTTGTTTTTTTGTCTTTTTTTTGCTGTGTTTTGTGTTGTTGCCCTGAGGGGCTAGAATATCATTTGGGAAATCTATCCCAAGGATAATAAGAAAGAGATCATGCTGGTGTGTCCTCCAACAAACCAGTCTTATTTCCTTTTCCGAAATACACTATACTCTCTATTTTCCCTCAATTTCATCTCAAAACATGTATTCTTTGCTTGCTAAGACTCTCAGTACTTATGTTCCCCTAAGGGCTTTTTTTTCCTTCTTTTTCCTCTTTCTTTTTTTTTTTTGAGACAGATTCTCACTCTGTTGCCCAGGCTGGAGTGCAGTGTGCAATCTCAGCTCACTGCAAACTCTGCCTCCCAGGTTCAAGCGATTCTCATGCCTCAGCTTCCAGAGTAGCTGGGATTAACGGCACACACCACCATGCCTGACTAATTTTTGTGTTTTTCAGAGAGATGGGGTTTCGCCATGTTGCCCAGCCTGGTCTCAAACTCCTCAGCTCAGGCAATCCACCTGCCTTTGGCCTCCCAAAGTGCTAGGATTACAGGCGTGAGCAAGACCATTTTACAAAGTAAAAGTGCCTGCAGATCTCAACCGAATAGTAGGAAATGGATTTATGGTGAGCCCAGCTCTATTATGAGCTGGTTTTAGGGAAAACACATGGCAGTTCCAGCTAAATGTCTAGAGGAGTCTGTAAAATTTGCATTGTAAGTGAGGGCAGCCACAGAAAGCAAGTTAATCAGCATGGCAATGCTTATATTTATTTTCAACAATAATTATTAAGAATCAAGCTGGGCCCAGTGGCTCACACCTGTAACCCCAGCATTTTGAGAGCCTAAGGGAGGAGGACTGCTTGAGTCAAGGAGTTCAAGACCAACCAGGGCGATATAACAAGACCCTGTCTCTATAAAAATAAAAAACAAATTAAATAATATTCTTAGATATGACACCAAAAACATGAGGGATAATTGAAAACATAGGTAAACTGTATTGCATCCAAATTGTCTAAAATTTTGCTATTGAGTACACCATCAAGAAAGTGAAAAAGGCCAGGTGCGGTGGCTCACGCCTGTAATCCCAGCACTTTGGGAGGCCAAGGCGGGCGGATCATGAGGTCAGGAGATCGAGACCACAGTGAAACCCCATCTCTACTAAAAATACAAAAAATTAGCCAGGCGTGGTGGCGGGCGCCTGTAGTCCTAGCTACTCAGGAGGCTGAGGCAGGAGAATGGCGTGAACCCAGGTGGCAGAGCTTGCATTGAGCTGAGATCACGCCATTGCACTCTAGCCTGGGCGACAGAGTGAGACTCTGTCAAAAAAAAAAAAAAAAAAAAAAAAAAGGAAAAAAGGCCAAGCGTGGTGGCTCACGCCTGTAATCCCAGCACTTTGGGAGGTTGAGGCAGGAGATAGAGACCAGCCTGGCCAACATGGTGAAACCCTACCTCTACTAAAAATACAAAAATGAGCTGGTCGTGATGGCGCACACGTGTAATCCCAGCTACTGGGGAGGCTGAGGCATGAGAATCGCTTGAACCTGGGAGGTGGAGTTTGCAGTGAGCTCAGATTGCGCCACTGCACTCCAGCCTGGGTGACAGAGTGACACTCTGTCTAAAAAAAAAAAAGAAAAAAGAAAAAAAATACAGAATGGGAAAAAAAATTATAAATCATATATCTGATGACAGACTTGTATCCAAAATGTACAAAGAACTCTTATAATTTAACAATAAAAAGACAGTCCAATTTTGGGAGCAAAGGATTTGAATTAACAATTCCCCCAAAAAGGTGTTATAAATGGTCATTAAGTCCATAAAAATATACTCATGAATGATGCCAATTTGGAATAGAGTTGGTGGTTCCTCATATTGTTAAACAGAGTTACCATGTAAACCAATAATTCTGCTCCTAGGTATACACCTAAGAAAAATAGAAACATATGTCCCTCTAAAACTTGTACATAAATGCTCAGAGCAACATTAGCCATAGTAGCCAAAACGTAGAAGCAACCCAAATGTCCATCAACTGATTAATGGATCAACAAAACGTGATAAATCCATAAAATATAATATTGTTCATCAGTTTTAAAAAACAAATTGTTGATTCACGGTACAACATGAAAAAAAATATTGAAAGTATTATTCTAAGTGAAAGAGCCAGTCACAAAAGATCAGATACTGTGTAGTACCACTTATATAAAATGTCTAGGCTGGGCACTGTAGCTCACACCTGTAATCCCAACACTTTGGGAGACCGAGGCGGGTGGATCACTTGAGGTCAAGAGTTCTAGGTCAGTCTGGCCAACATGGTGAAACCCCATCTCTACTAAAAATGGAAAAATTAACAAGCATGGCTACGCATGCCTGTAATCCCAGCTACTCAGGAGGCTGAGGCAGGAGAATCGTTTGAACCCAGAAAGCGGAGGTTGCAGTGAGCTGAGTTCATGCCATTGGACTCCAGCCTGAGTGACAGAGTGAAACTGTCTCAAAAATAAGTAAATAAAATAAGATGTCTAGAATAGGCAAAGCTATGAAACAGAGATTAGTGGTTGCATAAACTGAGAGGGAGGTGACTGCTGCTATAAGGTTTCTTTTTCAGGTAATGAAAGTGTTCTAAAATTAGATAGTAATGATCACTGAACAATTCTGAGAGTATTCTATAAACCACTGAATTTTACATTAAATTTTACACTGAAAATTAAAAGGGCTAACTTTATGGTATGTAAATTATATCTCAATATAACTGCTCTTTAAAAAGTCAAATAGTCAAATAGCATTTAACATATACACTCTTCAGCTAATATGATTATAGCACTTTGCAAAATAGATGACATAATATTATGATAAAGGCATTAAACCTCAAAAAGTAGTAGAGTAGGTGGCTCAGAAAATAATCAATAAAAGTTTAAACAAGGGAAAAGGCTGCTGTGTTTTATATACCTGCTGCTTTGCTCATGCACTCACTCATTCATTCATGCTTATATTCAATTCACTCATTGAATGTCTAGTAATGTGAGGCTTTGTGGTAGGTATCTTGGATACAGCCATAATAGACAGATATTATCTTTGCAGTAATGTGACCTACGGTCCAAAGGTGAAGTCAAACTAATAACAAGTAATTCAATAAAGCCAGATGAATACAGTGATAAGAAATAGAGCATAAGTAGCATTTCATTTAGTTTATACAACCCTTAAGAGAATTTTGATAAAACTACATATTCTCTACACATTTTAATTTGACATCTAAATATTTTCATTATGAGTCTAAATTAATATAACTTATTTATGATACCCAGAAACTATTACAAGATGAAATAATATGAATGTATATAACTGGGATGAACATTTTATAATGTAATTTGAAAAACGATTTCACCTGTGTATTGAGTTAAACACACAATATTTGAAATGCATTATGTAAAATTTTACCCATGTGTTTTATACAATGTACTTTGAAATGTATGATGGTTCTTTAAAGCATTCCAACTACATTTCAAAGAATCACTAACTTATGCTGCTTAAGCTATGTGAGTTTACAGCACCGACAAATAGGCCAAAATACCTTACAGCAAGCTTTGTCCCCCACCAAAATACATATCAAGTCAGGAAATCCTGCATATTTATGTTTCTGAAATTAAATACTAAAATGTTCCTTAAGCCAACATTTCCATTTCTTCTTTGTTCGAAGCCCTGGTGGATTTTACAACATCACTGTAAGATTTAGCGTGGGTGAAGAACTTTATTTATTTGTTAGTTTATCATTTATTTATTTTTGGTAAATTAAAAGAAAGAATTCATTAATGCTGGTTCATTCTCAAGCAGATAAATTTGACAAAGAGCACATATGGATGTTAAGGATCTGGAAATGGATTCCTTTAAAACTCTTCCTGCAATTACCCTGATGAGAAGATTTTCTGTGTCACCATGGTTACCTGTATCACCATCGGTTCCTGTATTGCCATGTGTACCCAAACCACAGTTTAAGGACTACTGTTCTTGAGTAGACTGGGGAGATTCTGTGCTCTAGAATTCTCAAAAATATAAAAGTGGAAAAACCATGATTAGCCACAAGGGAGGTCAGATTGCAAATATGGTAGGGTTTCCATTTCTTGTAAAATGTTTATGAGGCATAACAGTAAGTTTTCATTTATGCAATTGGATGTGCACATCTCTGGCTAGAAAAAAAAATTACAATGTGTTATAGTCTTAAGGGAATTTGAAACCACACTTTCACTCTTTTATCTCACCACAGGCTATAGTTATTCACAAGATAGTATGCTTCCTACTTGTTCAGTGACTCCTCCACTAGTTAATTAAACTGAAGAGGTCTGAAAGATTAGAATTCCAGAACTGCCTCACTAATCAGTCTTTTGACATTGAAGGTGCTAGCACGTATGGAGATGGGAGAGGACATGACCAAAGTAGGGTGCTGTCAGGTATGCCAGCCTCGGAGTGCTTTTTAGAGGTATGAGTCACAGCTGGATGAGAGAATCAGCCTTATACATTCTTCCTTAGAACATGTGTTCTGGTTAGCAGCCCACTAATTATTCCATCTGGTCAGCACCCCTGACTGGAGGCTGAGATATGAAAAAACTATTGTTTTTCATTCAAACCAGATGATGATCAGAGGGATGTGCTAGATTGTTTCCAAGATAACCACTGTCAATCCTCTCCACCCCTCCCGAAGCTAGCCATTCTGCCACTCAGAGATGGAGTTTATTTCTCAAAACTCCCTGAATGTGGAGGGGCCAAAGACTGTTAAGATCAGTAAAATATTATAAAATTAATGCTGTGTGACTTATGTGACTAAATAAGAGGAGTCACTGCAGCTTCTCCCTTCTATGAAAGAAGCCTCTGTCTGGAGATCCCCAGGCTGTTAGCAAATCCATGCTAGCTATATGAAAAGGCCAGGTGGAGGGAGAGGTGACCAACTGGCACCTGTCTCTTCTAATCATTCTATCCCAGGCACTGAAAATGTGACTGGGGATATCTTCAGATGCCTTCAGCTCAAAACATCATCAGAATGCAACTACACAATAAATCAAATGAGAACTACTCAGTTATGCCAGTCAACTATCAGAATAATAGTTGATTGTAATAGTTATTGAAGACCAGTGAAATATTGAGGTGTTTTCTTAGAAGCAATTTTTTAACCAGAACTGTTGATGTCTGCAAACTTTGGCTGATTATTTCTTCTTAGAAAGAAAGTCTACTAGATTGAGTTTAACTTTACAGGAACAATTTGGATACAGTTGCAACTTGCGTTATATAACCAACATGGATTCATTAATGAAAAAAATTTAAAAAATAATTAGAATCACAGAATTACAGAGTTGATTAAGATATTCACTGTTTTCCAGTCTAACACCTTCAATGTCAAAAGACTAGTTTGTGAGCTAGTTCTGGAATTCTTATCTTCTTTCAGTCCTCTTCAGTCAATTAAACTAGTGGAGTAGTCACTGAGCTCTGTCGTTTAGGAAGCATAACATGCTTGTGAATTATAGCCTTCAGTGAGACAAAAGAGTGAAAGTGTGACTTCAAGTTGATTTTTTTTCTAGCCAGAGATATGCACATCCAATTGCATAATTAAAAACTTGATGTTATGCCTCATATATATTTTACACTTAAGTTGACCAAAACAGAATTTTATTGTTTTATCCACAACCTCCTCCTCCCTCAGTCTTTCCTCATCTCAATAAAACTTGGAGTGATCATTGACTCCTTTCTTTTGTCCCCCAACCCTCATTTAATCCATCAGAAAGGTCTTTTTTTTTTTTTTTTTTGGAATCTCTTTACAAATATATTTTAATTTTTTCAACTTTTTGTCATCTCCAATGACAGTGTTTTTTTTCTTTCTTCCAACTCTTTCTTTTTTTTAGGTTCGGGGGTACGTGTGCACGTTTGCTACATAGGTAAGTTGTGTGTCAGTAAGGTTTGGTGTACAAATGATTTCATCACCCAGGTAGTGACCATACTACTTGATAGGTAGTTTTACGGTCCTCACCCTCCTCCCACCCTGCACCCTTAAGTAATTCCCAGTGACTATTGATCCCCTCTTTGTGTACATGTGTACTCAGTGTTTAGCATCCACATATAAGTGAGAACATGCAGTATTTGGTTTTCTATTCCTGCATTAATTTGCTTAAGATAATGACCTCCAGGGACATCCACATTGCTGCAGAGGACATGACTTCATTCATTCGATGGCTCTGTAGTATTCCATGGTGTATGTATGCTGCATTTTCTTTATGCTGTTTAACAGTGGTGGGCATCAAGGTTGATTCCATGTCCCTGCTACTGTGAAAGGTGCTGCAATGGATATATGCATGCAAATGTCTTTAATGCAGAACCATGTACATTCCTTTGGGTAAGTACCCAGTAATGAGATTGCTGGGTCAAATGGTAGATTGTTTTCATTTCTATGAGAATATCCAAACTGCTTTCCATGGTGGTTAAACTAACTTATATCCCCACCAGCAATGTATAACAATTTCCTTTTCTCTGCACCCTCACAAACATGTTATTTTTTGACTTTTCAATAATAACCAATCTGACTGGTGTGTGATGGTATTTCATTGTGCTGTTTTGATTTGCATTTCTCTAATGAGTGATATTGAACATTTTTTCCTATGCTTGTTGGCCACATGCATGTCGTCTTTTGGGAAGTGTCTATTCATGTCCTTTGCCCTTCTTTAATGAGATTGTTTGGTTTTTGCTTGTTGATTTGTTTAAGTTCTCTATAGACTTGATATTAGACCTTTTTGGATGCATAGTTTGAGAATATTTTCTCCCATTCTGTAGATTGTTTATGCTGTTGATAGTTTCTTTTGCTGTGCAGAAGCTCTTTAGTTTAATTAGATTCCATTTGTCAATTTTTGTTTTTGTTGCCATTGCTTTGGGGTCTTTGTCATGAAATCTTTACCAAGGCCTATGTCTGGAATAGTATTTCCTAGGTTTTCTCCTAGGAATTTTTATACTTTTAGGTTTTATGTTTAAGTCTTTAATCCATCTTGAGTTGATTTTTGTATGTGGGGAAAGGAAGAGGCCCAGTTTCAGTCTTCTGCATGTGGCTAGCCAGTTATACCAGCACCGTTTATTTAATAGGGAGTCCTTTCCCCATTGCTTGTTTTTGTCAGCTTTGTGAAAGATCTGATGGTTGCAGGTGTGTAGATTTATTTAGGGTTCTCTGACCTGTTCTATTGGTCTATGTGTCTGTTTTTACACAAATACCATGCTGTTTTGCTTACTGTAGCCTTGTAGTATAGTTTGAAGTCAGGTGATGCCTCCAGCTTTTTTTTTGTGCTGAGGATTGCTTTGGCTATTCAGGCTCCTTTTTTGGTTTCAGTTTTAGAATAGCTTTTTTCTAATTTTGTCAAAAATGACATTGGTAGTTTGATAGGAATAGCATTGAATCTGTAAATTGCTGTTGGAAGTATGACAATTTTAACTATATTGACTCCTATCCATGAGCATGGAATGTTTTTCCATTTGTTTATGTCGTCTCTGAATTCTTTCAGGACTGTTTTGTAACTCTTCTTGTAGAGATTTTTCCCTTCCTTGGTTAGCTGTGTTCCTACATATTTTATTCTTTTGGTGAGGACTGTGAACGGGATTGGGTTCTTAATTTGGCTGTCAGCTTGGACATTATTGGTGTATAGAAATGCTCCTGATTTGCATGTATTGATTTTGTATTGTGAAACTTTGCTGAAGTTGTTTATCAGTTCTAGGAACATTTGGGCAGAGACTATGGAAATTAGTAAGTATAGAATCATATTGTCTGCAAAGACAGGTGGTTTGACTTCGTCTCTTCCTATTCGGATGACTTTTACTTCTTTCTCTTGCCTGATTATTCTGGCTGGGACTTCCAGTACTATGTTTAATAGAAATGGTCAGCGTGGGCATTCTTGTCTTGCTCTGGTTCTCCAGGGGAATGCTTCCAACTTTTGCCCACTCAGTATGGTTTTAGCTGTGGGTGTCATAGATGACTTTTATTATTTTGAGGTGTATTCCTTCAAGGCCCAGTTTGTTGAAGGTTTTTATCATGAAGGGATGTGGAATGTTAATCAAAAGCCTTTTCAGCATTTATTGAGATAATCATGTGGTTTTTAAGTTCTCTTTATGTGATGAATCACGTTTATTTATTTGCATATGTTGAACCAATCCTGTATCCTAGGAATAAAGCCTACTTGACCGTGGTGGACTAGCTTTTTGATGTGCTGCTCCAGTTGATTTTCTTGTATTTTGTTGAGGATTTTTGCTTCTATATGCATTAGGAATATTGGCCTGAAGCTTTTGCTGTTGTTCTTGTGTCTGTGTCAGGTTTTGGTACCAAAACAATGCTGGCCTCATAGAATGAGTTACAGAGTAATACCTCCTCTTTGATTTTTTGAATAGTTTCCATAGATTTGGTATGAGATCTTCTGTATACATCTGGAAGAATTTGACTGTGAATCCATCTGATCCAGGGCTTTTTCTGGTTAGATTTTTTATTAGTGATTCCATTTTGGAGCTCATTCTTGGTCTGTTCAGGTATTCTGTTTCTTCTTGGTTCAATCTTAGCATGTTATATGTTTCCAGGAATTTATCCATTTCTTCTAGGTTTTGTAGTTTATGTGAATAGCGGTGTTCATAAAAACCTCTGAGGATTTTCTGTATTTCTGTGGGGTTAGTGGTAATGTCACCTTTGTCATGTCTGATTGCATTTATTTGAATTTTCTCTCTTTTTTCTTTATTAGTCTAGCTAATTGTCTTTCTTATTTATGCTTTCACAACATCAACTTTTTTTTTATCTTTTTTATGGATTCATGTGTAAGTTTCATTCAATTCAGCTCTGATTTTGGTTATTTCTTCTGCTAGGCTTGGGGTTGGTTTGCTCTTGTTTTTCTAGTTCCTCTACATATGATGTTAGAACTGTTAATTTGAGATATTTCTGACATTTTGATGTAGGCATTTAATGCTATAAACTTTCTTCTTAACACTGCTTTAACTGTGTCCCAGAAATTCTGGTATGCTATATCTTTGTTTTCATTAGTTTCAAATAATTTCTTAATTCCTGCTTTATTTTCATTCTTTCCCCAAAGTCATTCAGGAGCAGGCTGTTTAATTTCCATGTAATTATATGGTTTTGAGAGATCTTCTTGGTATTGATTTCTATTTTTATTGCACTCTGATCCAATAGTGTCTTTGTATGATTTCCATTTTTTGAATTTTTAGATAATTCCTTTATAGCCAAGCATATGATTGATTTTAGATTATGTGCCATATGCAGATGAGAATGTATATTATGTTACTGTTGGATGGATTGTTCTGTAGATGTCTGTTAGTTCCATGTTGTGAAGTGTTGCATTGAGGTCTTAAATGTCTTTATTCATTTTATGCCTGATGATATCTAACACTGTCAGTGGAGTGTTGAAGTCTCCTACTGTTACAGTGTAGTTAACTAAGTCTTCAAGAACTTGTTTTATAAATCTGAGTACTCCAGAGCTGGGTACCCAAATATTTAGAATAGTTAAAACTTCTTGTCAAATTAAACCCTTTATCATTATGTAATGCTCTTCTTTGTCTTTTTTGATCATTTTTGGCTTAAAGTCTGTTTTGTCTGAAATAAGAATAGCAACCTCTGCTCTTTTTGTTTTCCATTTTCTTGATAGATATTTCTCCATTTCTTTTTATTTTTTATTTTTTTTTTTGAGACGGAGTCTCGTTCTGTCGCCCAGGCTGGGGTGCAGTGGCGGGATCTCGGCTCACTGCAAGCTCCGCCTCCCGGGTTCACGCCATTCTCCTGCCTCAGCCTCCCGTGCAGCTGGGACTACAGGCGCCCACCACTACGCCCGGCTAATTTTTTGTATTTTTAGTAGAGACGGGGTTTCACCGTTTTAGCCGGGATGGTCTCGATCTCCTGACCTCATGATCCGCCCGCCTCGGCCTCCCAAAGTGCTGGGATTACAGGCGTGAGCCACCGCGCCCGGCCCCATTTCTTTATTTGGAGCCTATGGGTGTCATTGCATGGGAGATGGGTCTCTTGAAGATAGCATACAGTTGGGTCTTGTTTTATTATCCTGTTTGCCACTCTTTGCCCTTTAAGTGGAGCAGTTAGCCCATTTGGGTTTAAGGTTAATGTTGATATGTGAGGATTTGATCCTGTCTTTCTGTTGCTAGCTGGTTGTTGTGTAGACTTTATTGTACAGTAGCTTTATAGTCTAGTGGGCTGTATACTTCTTTTTGTGGTGACAAGTAATGGTCTTTCATTTCCATGTATAGCACTCCCTTAAGGGCTTCTTGTAAGGGCAGGTGGTGGTAATAAATTCCGTAAGCATGTGCTTATTCAAAAAGAATTTTATTTCTCCTTTGCTTATGAAGCTTAGTTTGGCTGAATAAAAAAATTCTTGTTTGGGATTTCTTATCTTTAAGGATGCTGAATATAGGCATTACTCTTCTAGTTTCTAAAGTTTCTGCTAAAATATCTGCTGTTAGCTTGATAGGGTTCCCTTTGTACGTGATCTGCCCCTTCTCTCTAGCTGCCTTTAATATCTTTTATTTTGCATTGACCTTGGAGAATACGATGACTACGTGTCTTGTGGATGGTCATATTGTATAGCATCTCATTTAATTTAGCTGAATTTTCTAGATTTGCACGTGAGGTTGGGAAAATTTTTGTGGACAATATCCTCAGATATGTTTTACAAGTTGCTTGCCTCTCCTTCTCTTTCTAGGATGCCAATGAATCATAGATTTGGTCTCTTTACATAATCCCATATTTCCCAGAGGTTTTGTTCATTTTTTAAAATTATTTTTTTAATTTGTTTGTGTTTGAGTTGATTTGAAGAAGTGGTCTTTGAGCTCTGAGAAGCTTTCCTCAGCTTGGTCTATTCTGTTAATACTTCCAATTGCATTGTACAATTACTGTAGTGAGTTTTTCAGCTCTAGAAGATCAATTCAGTTCTTTCTTAAAATGGCTATTTCATCGTTCAGCTCTTGTGTTGCTTGTGTCATTTCACTGGATTCCCTAGATTCCTTGGATTGGGTTTCATTTCTCTCCTGAATCTCATTAATCTACATTGTCATCCAGATTCTGAATCCTATGTCTGTAATTTCAGCCATTTTAGTCTATGGAAGAACCATTGCTGGGAGCTACTATAGTTGTTTGGAGGTTCTCTGGATTTTAGACTTTCCAGAATTCTTATGTTGGTTCTTCCTCATCTATTTGGGCTGAAGTGTCCTTAATCTTTAAAATTGCCACTTTGGATGGGGCTTTTTGCTTTTGGCTGTGGTATAAGTCGAATTTAGATGATCGGCTTTATTTCTGGATGATTTCACGGAGTCAAGGCTCAGCTCAGCAATCCTAGGATTTGTGCTCTAACCCTGAAGGACTGGGACCAGTCTTACGGCTTTTTTCTCTGGCCCCTCGAGGTTATGCACTTCCTGCACTGGAGGACCCAAGGTGTTCCCAGTCCACTTGCAACAACACTCCGATGGGGGATGCTGGCAAAAGTGCTTCAGTGCGGGGGTGGTAGGTGATGGCAGGACCCATGTGCATGTATCCATTTGAAAAGCAGCAGGAGGAGGCTGCAGGCGAGTGCACGCCGATGGGGGAAGGCTGTGCATGGGTACTAGCTGGTGGATGCCCACTTACAGAAGCTATCCAACTGTTAGGAGAGGTCTGCCATGAAAAGAGCTATGGTGATGGCTGCCGGTAAGCATCTTGGCTTGGCAGCTGAGGCTGCGCTGCAAGCAGATACACCCAGCCAGGGACCCCATAATAGATCTGAAGACAGAGGGGTACTCATATCATATTGGCCACATCCCATGGACAAGATAGCACTGTTCTGTCCAAGTTTAGCAGCCAACACAGGCTAAAGCCACCTAGAGGAGCATGGCAAGCCTTGGAGGATGGGATCCTAAGGTTATGATCCACTGCAGCCGTTCCCATGTCAAACTCTTTGGGCTCTACACAGGCTACAATTCTGTCTCCATCAACTCTCTGGGCAGTTCCCTGCCAGCTCAAATATCCATGAGAATCATGTAGTCTGCTGCAGCTAAGATTCTGGAGGTCTGTGATGAGAGGGGGCCACTCTATGCCTATTCAAACTCACCTTTTCCCTGGGAGCTGCTTGGGGCCAAAATGAGTCCTGGTGCTCAGCAACCCCTTGCAGGGTTTTCAGCTTCCTCCTGCTTCAGCCCCAGGTCTGTATCCTCTTTCTATCCACTCTCAATGCCTTCTTTTCAAAGATCTGTTGGGAATATGCTAGTCTACTTGATGGTCTTGTTTCTCTTGGTGGGAGAAGCTCTTCTTGGCTATGCCTAATTTGCCATCTTGCCTCCCTTCTCACAGTGCTAAGTTTTTAACATCTATATTTAGTAATATTATTATGAATGTAAACATGATGTTTCCTGAGGCACATACAGGTTAGTTATTATTCATAGCAAACTTCACTGAATATTCTTTGCTCTGATTCTTGGAGAGCTAGATGTCATCGTACAAGGCAGGATCTGTATAGTAGATGTGGAATCATGAAAATATGAATCACAGTGGTTATATAGTAGAGGGAAAGTTGTCCTCACTCCTCCCCTGAGAAATGGAGAGAAAATGTTTACTCCTTAAATAAACAAATTCAACTTTTGAAGTCTCCTTGGTTCTTACTCTTTGAAATGTAAATGTATATGCATGTGTGTGTGTGTGTGTGAGTGCAAATGTATGTATCTAAGATGAGGATAAAATAATTGTGCAGTGGAGGACTATCTCTCTGAACGGCATATCATTATTCAATCAATTGCAATTTAACTTCCAAATCTTACTCTTTAAGGCCATGTCTCAAGTTCCAGTAAAATTTACTCAAAAAGCCCTGAATGTGCAGAAACATAAAAATATTTCCCCTGGAGCCTCGTCAAAGCCTTCACAACCTCTAACTGAGGCTGCTCTCTCAGCCTCCTAAGTTCTCTCCCTCTCTGCCTCTCCTATTCATTCTCTACAGAGCAGCAAGTGTAACTGATGTAAACATTAATCTCACTCACTCATCTGCTTAACAAAACCTCAGAGTCTTCTCACTGTAATAGTCTACCTCCTATGGCCCCAAAGCTCAGTATGATTTATCTTTCTCTCAGTTCCTTGGCCACTAAACTTACTTCCCACATAGTGCTTTTGGCATAATTGTTCCCTCTGCCGGGATTGCTTTCTGCCAAGCTTTGTCTTGGCTGGTTTCTTCTCATCCTTTGCCCCAAATTAATGTCACTGCTCCAGAGAGCCCCCTTCTGAAAACTGTATCCAAAGTAGATACCTGTATTTTTCTATTCTCCATGATGATACCCAGCTTATGAACCTTGCAATGATGAATCAATCCTTCCATTTGTTACCTGTTTATTGTTCATCTATGATCTGGGAGGACAGAGAACTTCTGTCTTTTAAAATTTTTTATGCTTAGTGTTAAGCACCATGACTGACAAAGAGTGGATCCTTAATAAATTTCTATGGAAGAATAGAATAGATGAGTAAATGGATTCATTAGGGCTCTACAAACAAAGTCATACAAAAGCAGATTGCATAATTTCTTGAATGCTAGTACTTGTCAACTTGATACCGTAAGAATACTCAAGACACTTATAAAAGACAAATTGAAGTGAAAAAAAATAAGAGAACATAAAAGAATCAAACAATAAAATCAAAGTGAGGATTTTCTATAAACAAGAAGCATTGAGAAGTGTATTGATTTCACATATACCATGTGGCAAGACCATATTAGTCACGTGAAGGAATAAAGAGACTGCACTGGTGTCTTGCTTCATTTAAGAGTACTTACTATCTACTTAATGAGGTGTACATATAAAAATAAAAAGTGTTTAGATATAGTGGGGATAAGAGCCACATTTGAATGTTAAAGAACAAGAATAAGCCATATACTTCTTCAAAGTCTTACTTCCCTGCATAGTGGGAAGAAGTCAAAGGAAATGATTCTTTAGATCATTTTAGAAAATAAAGCTCAAAACAAAATTGAAAAAAATGTATCAAAATTTAAACCCTATATTCCAAATAGTGCTGGATTTTTTTGAGCATGAACTATTTTATTTTAAAGGATAGATATGTGGAGTCTATTTTAAAGATCGTTGCTCCAGATTTCTTATGCACAAAACTTTTGGGAATTTTCAAATCACAGGAATTACATATGTGAATAGCTTTTCTGTTTTATACCCTAATCCCACATAACACAGTTCTAGGCACAAAATAAGGCCAATGACCACAAACTGCTTAGTAAATAGAAATCAGAATGTAGTAAAAATATTATTAGATTAGAAATGAGAAAACGTGTTTTAAAATCTCTCAGTTTATTATAACAATTCATTCTTCAGCTGTGTCGAATTTGTTATTAGGCCACTATTAAAATTATAATTTTTATAATTAAATCTTTTAAAGTCTAAAAATTCTATTTGGTTACTTTCTAAATCTGGCTGTCAATACCATCTTATTGCTTCCTCCAAGGGCCAAATTATCCATTAGGTACAATGCCTAGGGCTCCTGGCACATTTCCTTAAAATGTTTTAATTATTATAAAACTAGAAGAAATAAAATAACCTTTGGATTGAAGAAAATGTTTTGATATGTAATATTAATATATTTGTGCTTATACCAGCACAGTCATAAAATATAAATTATATGTGTGTGTATACATTTATTTATCTTATTTATTTATTTATGCAGGAAGGCCTAAGTGCCTAAAGCCTACCAAAATTATACTACAGTAGTTCTCTATTCTTCATAAAGTCTTAATTCTATCTACAGCTATATATAAATATATATATATACACACACATGTTTATATATAGATATAGATACATAGATATGTAATTCAGTATTGGATGATTCTAGGACCTAGTATATGCAGAACCTACAGACTGAGTCTGTAGTTCATTACGTCTGCTGACTTTTGCTTATAGCGGCTTATTTTTTTAGATGTTTCCTGCTGTGTGCATATATTTATATCCTTTTAAACTTTCTCTGTAAACACATTCAGGTCAGACTGAAAGTGCTTCCTATAAAGAAGATTTGTGTTTGTTCTTTCCAGATACCTGGGTACACTGCCAACTCAGAACAACTTTAAACAGAAATTGACTTCAGTTGTTTTCTTTTTTCTAAGGCACAAAAATCTTGTGAATTCTAGTCCCAACTCATTGACTTCTGACTTGTAGCTAAGACTTCTTGGAGAGCACTAGTTTTTTTCTACTTTACTCAGGATCTAGACTAAGAACGCTATACATCTCCACACATTCCTACTGAATGGCAAGATTTTTCCCAAGATTCTATCAAGAGTAATGCATTTTAGGGAATCTGGATTTTTGTGGAGTCTTATCCTACTTGGCTTTAGGTTTTGTAAGCCTAATTTGTAAGCTACTGGAGATTCACAGATGCCTCAAGGCCAAAGTTAGCTCTGTACTGATGTTTTATACTGTTTGAGGATTTTTCTGCTTTCTCTTCCAGCTAAAGAATTATTTATACATTTTATCTTGAATTTTAAATAATTTGTACCATCAGGAGTAGTCCATATAGAAAATTTGCTATCAGAAATGCAATAGGTACTATTAATTATCCATGTGTTAATCATTAGAAAACTGAAGATCAGAGAAATCAACTGAATTTTCTAAGTTCTCATAGCTGATAGGTGGGTGAAACCAGATTCATACTCATGTCTGCCTAACGATAATATAGTTTATTGAGAAGAAATTTCAAATTCCAAAATTTTGAAATTCATATTTGAAAACTTAGATGGAATAAATATATTCCTAGTAGTGATTTCTTTCAAACTTAAGAAAAAAAACTTTAAGAAATTATAAAAAATTAATTAACTTCAACTTGACAATGTAGTAAACTCAGTACTAAAATATGACAAGAATCATCTAGCCAAACTCACAAATATAGATAAAAATTTCTCAGTAAAATATTAATTGACTAATGCCAACAATATTTTAAAATAATAATATTATCAGGATCAATATGTACTTATTCCAGAAATGCAAAGTTGATACAGAAAAAATAATCAAGCAAGATAATTCATCACATTAACTGAATAAAGAATAAATTATATAATTATTTCAATAAATGTAGAAAAAGCATCTGGTAAAATTTAATATTCATTCCAGATTTTTAAGAAATAGTGATTTATTGAAATGTTTGTCCATCTTGCCTCCTAAAAAAGCTTAAGAGAAAACATCATAATTGATGATAAAATATTCAATAGTAGCACAAAAAGAAGAAAGAAGGAATAGAGCTTTATAAGATTAAAACTCATCCAGCTCACTGGAATTAAGATAGTATAAGTCTGATGCTAATTCTCATAAGGTAAGGTATATATTATAAACCCTAGTGCATCCACTAAGCAAGTAACTAAAAGATATAGTTAAAATTAATACCAGGAAATGTTTATTAAATGAAAAAATAGTATGGGGGAACAGAGAAACAAAAAGAGACGTGAGACATACAATACCAAAAGAAAACTAGCAGATGCAAATCCAACAGTATCAATAATAACATTAAATGTGAATGGATTGAATAATCCAATCAAGAGTGAAAGATCATTAGACTAGATAAGAACCATCAAAACAATTATACACTTTGGAAGGGAGATATGCTTTAGATTCAAAGATACAACTAGCTTGAGTACAAATATTTCAAAAGTCATACAATACAAATAGCAACCCTGAGAGAGCTAGAGTGCCTACATTAACTTCAGATGAAATCATCTTTAAAACAAAAAATAAATATTACCAGAGATACAAAGCAATAGTTTATAGTGATAAAAGACTCAATACATCAGGAAGGTGTAACAATTACAAACATATATGCACTAATATCAGAAGCCAAAATTATATTTAAAAAAACTGACAAAATAAAAGAGAGAGACACTTCAACAATAGTAGTTGGAAACTTTAATACTCAATTTCCAATAATAAGTAGAACAACTAGACAGAAGATCAGCAAGGAAATATAAGAATTTGAAAATACATGTTTGAACAACACTATAAGCCAACTAGACATAGCAGATACGTACTGAACACCGAAGCCATTAAAGCAAAATGCACTTTCCTCTCAAGTGCACATGGAACATTCTGCAGAATAGAACATATGTGCTGTCATAAAACAAGCCTGAAAAAATTCTTATAAAATTGAGATCATACATGTTTTCCAGCCATAATAAAACTAAATTGGAAATCAATAAGAAGGAAATTTTGGACATTTAAGAATATGCAGGAATATTTAAAAGTAATAATGAATACTTCTAAGTAACCAATGCTCACAGATAGGAAGTTAGAAAATAGTTTAAGATAAATGCAAATAAAGACACAACATACTAAATTCTATGAGATGCAGCAAAAGCAGCGCTTTAAGATAAATATATAGCTGTAAATTCTATATTTAAAAAAGAGAAAGATCCCAACTAAATAGCGTTATTTTTCTTGCTAAGAGACAGGAAAAAGAGAAACAATTTAATACAAAGCAAGTATAAAGAAGGGAATAATAAAAGTTAGAACAGAAATTAATGGAAAAGAAAAACAATAGAGAAAGTCAAGAAAATCTAATTTGGTTCTCTGAAAAGATGAATAAATTAAAAACACTATCTACACCGACCAAGAAAAAAAATAAAGAAGACTTACATTGCTAAAATTACTACTGACCTTACAGAAATATTTTTTTTTAAATATGAAAGTGAATACTATAAAAAACTGTAAGTCAAAATTAGGATAACTTATATGAAAGGGAATAATTTCTAGAAACAAACTACCAAGACTGATTCAAGAAAAATTAAAATATCTGAATGGATTGAAACAAATCATAGGGAATACATTAAAAATCTTAAAACTTCCCACAAATAAATGCCCAAATGGCTTCATTAGTAAATTCTAGAGAAAATTTGAAGCATAACACCTCTCTCTCGCAAATTTTCAAAACATAGAAAATGAGGAAATATATCCAACCTCCTTCTATGAGGCCTTGACACCAAACAACACAAAAGCACCATAAGAAAGCTACAGATAAATATCTCTTTTTCATACAAATAGAGAACCTAACAAAATACTAGGACAACAAAGCCAGCAACACATAAATAGGATTATATAATATGACCAAGTGGGAATTTATCCTGAGGATGCAAGGTTGGTTCAACAGCTGAAAATCAATTAATATAATGTATTATATTAATAGGTTAAAGAACAATAACCTCATGGTCATCTCAATAGCTACAGAAAAACCATTAGAAAAATACAAACTTCTTTTTATGACAGTTAATGAACACGGAAAACTAGTGAACTTACTCAAACTAATAAAAGGTGTCTGTGAAAAATGTAAACTAACATCACGTTAAAAATGGTGAAGGACTATACATTATCCTGATAAGATGAGGAACAATACAAGAATGTATGTCCAGGTTCACTAATTTTTCTTTTTTTTTTTTTTTGAGATAGAACTCACTCTGTCGCCCAGGCTGGAGTGAAGTGGTGCGATCTCCGCTAACTGCAACCTCCACCTCCCAGGTTTGAGCGATTCTCATGCCTCAGCCTCCCTAGTAGCTGGGACTACAGGCACGCACCACCACACTGGAATAATTTTTTTGTATATATTTTTAGTGGAGATGGGTTTTCACTATTTTGGCCAGGCTGGTCTCTAACTCCTGGCCTCAAGCAATCACTCACTTTGGCCTCCCAAAGTGCTGGGATTACAGGTGTGAGCCCCCGTGCCCGGCCCAGGTTCACGACTTCTATTCAACATTGTACTAAACAATCTAACCAGGACAATTAGGCAAGAAAATAAAATAAAAGACATTCAGATACAAAAGAAAGAAGTAAATTATCCTATGTGTAGTTAACATGATTTTATATATACAGAATATCCTAAGAAATAAAATGAAAGTTATTATAACTAATAAAAAAGCTCAACAATGTTGCAGGATGTAACTATCAATACACAAAAATCAATTATATAATCTATATACAGGCTGAGCCTGGTGGCTCAAGCCTGTAATCCCAACACTTTGGGAGATTGAGGCCAGCAGGTCACTTGAGGCCAGGAGTTCAAGACCAGTCTGGGCAATATAATGAGACCCTGTTTCTACAAAAAATAAAAAAATAGAATGATTTATATTCCTTTGGGTACCTACCCAGTAATGGGATTGCTAGGTTAAATGATATTTGTTTTTGGAGGGTGCAGGGTGGGAGAAGGGAGAGGATCAGAAAAATTGACTAAAGGGTACTAGGCTAAAAACCTGGGTGATGAAATAATCTGTATAACAAACCCCCATGACACAAGTTTACCCAGATAACAAACCTGCATCTGTAATCCGAATTTAAAATAAAAGTTAAAAATACAATAAAATAAACTAAAAATGTAAATAATTCAATTTAAGACAGCATCAAAAGAATAAAATACTTAGGAATAAATTAATCCAAAGAAGTGAAGATGTCTCACCATAAATGGAAACATTATTTAAAGAAATTAAAGATCTAAGTAAATAGAAAAGCAACTTATACTAACAGATCAAGATATTTATTATTGTTAAAAATGTAATACCCACTCCCCCCACCCAAATTTGTCTACTCAACACAATCCTACAAAATCTCAGGTAGTTTTTAGCAGAAATTGGCAAGATAATACTAAAGTGTGTATTAAAATGCAATGATAAAATATAAAGAAATTATTAGAATTAATAAGAGTTTTGACATGGTTGCTGGCAAAAGTCAGCAAACACAATTTATATCTAATTCCAGCAATAAACAGTAAATAAAATTTTACCATGTAAATATCATATGTGAAAAGACTGAAATAAAAAATATCTAGAAATAGAAACCCTTGGCTTTGATGGCTCTATAAAATCTGCCAGTTGATCCTGTTCTTAGGGTCTCATCCCTAAGCTCCTGCCTCTAAAACCTCATCCCTAAGAACCTGCTGCCAAGGCTCTGCTAGCGAGTTCTGCCCCCAACTATCTAGCTTGTTGCAACCAAGGTAGTGGCCCTGAAAATCTCTAAATTATCTTGGGGCCATTTCTCTCTCTTTTTAAAGGATAGAATACATTTGCAGCCAAATTGTTCTATCTACTCATCCTGTGAAATTTAATGAGTCTGATGGCCTTCATTCATTTCATCTTATCTTTGTTCCCTTCAGTTCATACTTGCTGTATTTCTGTTAGTATAATCTTACATACATTTTATCAAGTGATAGTCCAGTCACACCATTGGTGTTGTCCTCAGTACATACTTTATCATCAACATTTGCAATATGAATTGGCTGAGAATTTCCAAATCTTCAAGTTCCAGTTCCTTTTTGTTTAATAATGTCTTCCTCAATTCATCTCTCTCTTCTTGCTTTTTACTATAAGCAGTCAGGAAAAACAAAGCTGCTCTTTTGACACTTTGCCTAGAAATTTCCTAAGCTAAGTATTTGATTTCAATCCTTGCCAGTTCTACCTTCTACCAAACACTAGAACACAAACACACTTCAGCCAAGTTCTTTGCGATTTTATAACAAGTCTCACTTTTTGTCATTTCCAATACTATGTTCCTCATTTTCATTTGACATCTCACAAGAGTGGCCTTTAACATTCATATTTTTATCAAATTCTTTTCATGGCTATATAGTCTCTAAAAAGATGGAAGTTTTCTCTCCAGCTCTCCTCTTTTCTTTCTAATGTCTAACTGAAACCACTCTTAATGTCCATATTTTTTTGGCATACATCTCAAAACTTCTTCAGTCTCTACCCATTACCCAGCTCCTGAGTCACTTCCACCTTTTTAGGTATTTGTTGTAGCAGTATTTCACTCCTGGTACCAAAATCTATTTGTCATCTCAGATGGTGATAACAAAATATTATATACTGGGTAGCTTAAACAACACAAATTTATTCTTCCTGCTCTTAAAGGTGGAAAATTCAAAATCAAGATGCCTGTAAGGCAGATTTCATTCTGAGACTTCTTCTTTTGGCCTACAGACAGCCACTTTCTTGTGTTCTAACACAGCTTTTCCTTGATGTATGTGCATGGAGAGATACACTCTTTCTCCCCTTATAAGGCTACAAATCCTATCTGGTTATGGCACCACCTTTATGATCACAGTTTGTTTTAATAACCTCCCAAAGACACCATCTCCAAATACAGTCACAATGATGGTTAGGGCTTCAACATATAATTTTGTGGAGACAAAGGTCACAATTCTCCCCAAATTCATCTTGAGATATAATGCAGTCTAATTGAAAATACCAAAAGACACTGTATCAAAGAAGAGATATTGAGGACAAAGAATCTCTTCTCCCCATCATATCTCATCAGGAAAACTCAAATTGAAACAATGATATACCACTACACATCTATTAGAATGACCAAAATTCAAAACACTGACAACATCAAATGCTGACAAGGATTTAGAGCAACACGAGCTCTCTTATTCATTACTGGTGGGAATGCAAAATAGTACAACTTTGGAAAACAGTTTGGTAATTTTTTCCAAGGCTTATACATACATTTACCATATTATTCATTGAATGCCTTGGTATTAACTCACAGGTTTGTTCACACAAAAACCTGCACAGAAATGTTTATAGCAGCTTTATTCATAATTACCAAAACTTGGAAGCAACCAAGATGCCCTTCAGTAGGTAAATGGATAAATCAACTGTGGTACATCAGACAATAGAATATTATTCATGACTAAAAAGAAATGAGCTCCTAAGCCATAAAAAGGCATGAAGAAAATGTAAATGTATATTACTACATGAAAGAAGCCAATAAAAAGTCTACATATTGTATGACTCCAAATATATAACATTCTGGCAAAGGCAAAACTATAGAGATAATAAAAAGATTAGTGGTTTCTGGGAATGAGGGAGGAGGGAGGGATAACTCGTGGAACACAGATGATTTTTAGGCCAGTGAAAATATTCTGTTTAAAACTATAATGATAGATGCATGTCATTACACATTTGTCCAAATCCATAGAATGTACAACCACCAAGAGTGAAACTTAATTAAACAATATATTTGGGGTAGTAATGGTATGTCAATGTAAGTTTACCAGTTGTAACAAATGTGCCACTCTGGTGGGGAGTGTTTATAATGGGGAGGGTTATATATGTGTGCGAGCTCGTAGTATCAGGGAAGTCTCTGTACTTTCTTAATTTTGCTGTAAACACAAAGTTGCACTAAAAAATAAAGTCTATTTTAAAAATACCAGCTTGCTTTTTATTTGGGGATGCAGTAGAACTTAACGAGCTGGTTCTAAAATGCACATAAAAATAACAGGTCAATAATAGCCACGATTCCTTTGAAAAAAGAACATGAGAGGAGTTTCTTAACTTGACATCAAGGCTTATTTTAAAGCAATAGCAATCAAGAAAATGTGATATTAGTACCAGGATTGGAAAACAGACAACTGAACGATCACAGAGTCCAGAAATAGACTGTTGCATTTTTAAATGCTTGATTTATGACACAGGTAGCATTGAAGCACAGTAGCAAAGAGACAGTTCTTCAATAAATGATGTGGGAAGAATTAGACATCCATTTGAAAAAAATGAAATTTGATATTGATCACATTACTTAAATAAATCAACAACTTCAATAGCATAGGAAACAAAAAGGAATCAGGAAGAGCCAAATATAGACCATAAGGTGGATGATAAATGATTTTTCCATCAAAAAGTCTCAGAAAATGGCCCTTGTTTGATGAGAGGAATGAACAGAAACATTTCATGGTGCAGAAGGACTTGCCAGTGAAACTTTCCTGGGCACTTTTCTGATTAAGTTTTGACTGACTTTCTCAAAGAACTCTCATGATAAGCAGATGTTGTCATTCTCTGGGTCTTCAGAAAGTCAACAAGCAAAATGCCTTGAGCATCCCAAAAAGCTGTTGCCATAATCTTTGCTCTTGACTGGTCTGCTTGTGCTTTGACTGGACCACACCACTTATTGGTAGCTGTTACTTTGATTGTGCTTTGTCTTCAGGACAGTACTGGTAAAGCCATGTTTATCTACCATTATTATTATTTGAAGAAAGAGCTTAAGGTTCTTGATCCCACTTCTTTAAAATTTTCACTGAAAGCTCTGCCCTGGTCTGTGGCTGATCTGGGCACAAACGTTTTGCACATTCAATTTTAATTCTTTAGTCAGGAATGTGTAAGCTAAGCCAATTGAGATGTCTGTGATGTCAGCTATTGTTTCTGCTGTTAATCTTCAGTCCTCTTCAATTAGGACATGAACAAAATAAAGTTTATCCTCACAAATTGATGTGAATGACCTGGAACTATGAGCTTCATCTTCAACAGCATCTCATCCCTTCTTAAAATGAGTTATCCATTTGTGGCCGGGCGCGGTGGCTCACTCCCGTAATCCCAGCACTTTGGGAGGCCAAGGCGGGCAGATCACGAGGTCAGGAGATCGAGACCATCCTGGCTAACAAGGTGAAACCCCATCTCTATTAAAAATACAAAAATTAGCCAGGTGTGGTGGCAGGTGCCTGTAGTCCCATCTGCTCGGGAGGCTGAGACAGGAGAATGGCATGAACCCAGGAGGTGGAGCTTGCAGTGAGCAGAGTTCATGCCACTGCATTCCAGCCTGGGTGATAGAGCCAGGCTCCGTATCAAAAACAAAAAACAAACAAACAAACAAAAAAACAAAACGAGTTATCCATTTGTGAACTGCTGACTTATTTGGGGCATTTTTTCCATAGACTTTTTGTAAACCATCACTGATTTCACCATTCTTTCACCATTAATTATAAATTTGATGTTTGTTCTTGCTTCAATGTTAGCACAATTCATGTTTTTCTGATAGATGCTCTTTTATAACTTATACCTTATCCTTTTTAGTGCCTCAAACTAGATCCTGTTTAGGCATGTTTTAATAAGTTAGTCTGAGTTTATTTTGGTGCAAAAACTTTTGAAATACATGCATAGTTTTTTTCATAATATGCATTTTCCATGAACTTTTTGAAAATACCTCATACAGCTAAATTTTAAAGCTATTTAGCTGCAAAGTTTAAAGAAGATTACATAGATAGTATTTTGGGGAACTTTTAACCTTCACATTTGAAAAATATGTCTTAAACACATCTCAAAAGGTAATAACCATACTAGAAGAAGTTGGAAAATTATATTAAAATTAGGGACTTCTGTTTGTCAAATGAAAATGAAACATGAAGAGGATGAAGGGATAAGCTAAAGAATGAAAGAAAAAATATTTGCAACACGTAAATGAACAAAACACTATATGCAGAATGTACATAGCAATTGTAGAAGACAAACAACCCAGTCAAAAAAGAGCAAAGACTTCAAAGCTGCTTCACAAATGAGAAAATCCAAATTTCTGAGAAACATAAATATGTGTTCAATTTCCTTAGCAATCAATCAAATGACAGTTAAAGCTACAATAGTATAATATACTCACCAGAATGCTCATGCATTGGTAAGGAAGGGGAGCCACTGGTTTACTCATAATCTGTTGGTAGGAATATAAATTGTATACTTCTAAGCCAACAATTCTACCTCTAAGGCAACATCCAATAGCAGATGTGCACATGACCACTAAGACCACCAGGAGACACGTACAAGAATTATTATTCTGTTTTACTATTTTACCTTGTTTTGGTAAGAACCCAATGTGAAGTCCTACCCTCTTGACAAAAATTTAAGTGTACGTTGTTATTGACTATCACAAAAATGTTAATGGCATCACAATTGTAATAGTCCCAAATTGGAAATAACCCAAATGTCCATCAACAGTAAAACAGATATAAAAATTGTGGCATCTTCAAACAATTGTTATACAGCATTGAAAATGCACAAACTACAGCTACATAAATTAACACGAATAAATCTTTTTTGTTTGTTTGTTTTTTTGAGACGGAGTCTCGCTCTGTCACCCAGGCTGGAGTGCAGTGGTGCGATCTTGGCTCACTGCCAGCTCCACCTCCCGGGTTCACGCCATTCTCCTGCCTCAGCCTCCCGAGTAGCTGGGACCACAGGCACCCGCCACCAAGCCCGGCTAATTTTTTTTTGTATTTTTAGTAGAGACGGGGTTTCACCATGTTAGCCAGGATGGTCTCGATCTCCTGACCTCGTGATCTGCCCACCTCGGCCTCCCAAAGTGCTGGGATTACAGGCGTGAGCCACCGCGCCTGGCCCTAACACGAATAAATCTTATGAAGTATTTTTAAGTTAAAGAAAAAATTAGAAAAGAATAAAACTGATGATTTCATTACATAAGCTTCAAAAACCCATGAAAATTAAACTATAGTGTTTAAGGATGCATAGTTAGGTGGTAAAAGTATAATGAAAGCAAGAAATTCATTACGACAAAAGTTAAAAGAGTGGTTTCATCGGGTAGAGGGAGGAATTTTAATTGAGAAGGGGCACATGGAGGGCTTCTGAGGTGCTGGTACTGTTGTTAAATTTCTAGTTATATGTGATAGTTGTACAACAGTTTATTTAGTATCCAACTGTTAATTTTTACATCAATGTTTAATGCATTTTTTTCGTGGTTGTCTATTTTATTTCCCAATAAAAAGTTAAAAAAAACCTCAAAGCTGAAACTTGCTCTTCACCACTGTCTAGCTGCCTCTAGAAAATAGACAACTAGCTGTAAAATACATGCATGCATAATACTATATTCTTATATATATATTCATATATAGAATTTCTATATTGATTAAGCTAATGTGACAACCTTCCTTAGGTAGCTATCTATTCATGATCATTTTGAAAAGAAAACAGATACTTGGAAAGAAAAAAAAAACATATTCATCTACATAGTTAATATGCATTTTTCCTGTGTCATACCTCTCTCCATGTAATAAATTAGATGAGATTCCCAACTACTAAAACTGTATTAAGATTCTAGTCCACATCCAGAGGATTGATTTAGGAAAGACTCAGAGAATTAATGACCTGCAGTTGTTGTGCATATTAAATACAAGCTACTCTATTAGAAAAGAAATTGGGAAAATTGGTGCAAAGACATCAGGAAAAAAATAAAACCCTGTTCTTTTCTTGAATATATTGATACCATGTATCTGGAGAAAATGGTTAAAAGCAACACGATATCTTTGAGAGCTGCATTCTTGTGAAATCAGCTATTGAAAAGTGAAATATTCAGGCAACTAAATAGTTGTTATTATTGTTAAAATATGATTTTACTAATTGTCCTACCCAATATAGACATTTCAGTGCTATGTAAGTATTGACTAAATTACTGCTACATTTAGATTTAACTGTCCATTACAATATTTACACTCCATTCCAAGCCCTGAAACTATACTATTTATTTCCTACCACCTTTATTTTTTTTTTTATTTTGTTATTATTATACTTTAAGTTTTAGGGTACATGTGCACAATGTGCAGGTTAGTTACATATGTATACATGTGCCATGTTGGTGTGCTGCACCCATTAACTCATCATTTAGCATTAGGTATATCTCCTAAAGCTATCCCTCCCCCCATCCCCCACCCCACAACAGTCCCCAGAGTGTGATATTCCCCTTCCTGTGTCCATGTGTTCTCATTGTTCAATTCCCATCTACGAGTGAGAATATGCAGTGTTTGGTTTTTTGTCCTTGCGATAGTTTGCTGAGAATGATGATTTCCAATTTCATCCATGTCCCTACAAAGGACATGAACTCATCATTTCTTATGGCTGCATAGTATTCCATGGTGAATATGTGCCACATTTTCTTAATCCAGTCTATCATTGTTGGACATTTGGGTTGGTTCCAACTCTTTGCTATTGTGAATAGTGCCTCAATAAACATACGTGTGCATGTGTCTTTATAGCAGCATGATTTAGAGTCCTTTGGGTATACACCCAGTAACGGAATGGCTGGGTCAAATGGTATTTCTAGTTCTAGATCCCTGAGGAATTGCCACACTGACTTCCACAATGGTTGAACTAGTTTACAGTCCCACCAACAGTGTAAAAGTGTTCCTATTTCTCCACATCCTCTCCAGCACCTGTTGTTTCCTGACTTTTTAATGATTGCCATTCTAACTGGTGTGAGATGATATCTCATTGTGGTTTTGATTTGCATTTCTCTAATGGCCAGTGATGGTGAGCATTTTGTCATGTGTTTTTTGGCTGCATAAATGTCTTCTTTTGAGAAGTGTCTGTTCATGTCCTTCGCCCACTTTTTGATGGGGTTGTTTGTTTTTTTCTTGTAAATTTGTTTGAGTTCATTGTAGATTCTGGATATTAGCCCTTTGTCAGATGAGTAGGTTGTGAAAATTTTCTCCCATTTTGTAGGTTGCCTGTTCACTCTGATGGTAGTTTCTTTTGCTGTGGAGAAGCTCTTTAGTTTAATTAGATCACATTTGTCAATTTTGGCTTTTGTTGCCATTGCTTTTGGTGCTTTAGACATGAAGTCCTTGCCCATGCCTATGTCCTGAATGGTAATGCCTAGGTTTTCTTCTAGGGTTTTTATGGTTTTAGTCTAACGTCCAGGACCAGATGGATTCACAGCCGAATTCTACCAGAGGTACAAGGAGGAACTGGTACCATTCTTTCTGAAACTATTCCAATAAATAGAAAAAGAGGGAATCCTCCCTAACTCATTTTATGAGGCCAGCATCATCCTGATACCAAAGCTGGGCAGAGACACAACCAAAAAATTGAATTTTAGACCAATATCCTTGATGAACATTGATGCAAAAATCCTCAATAAAATACTGGCAAACCGAATTCAGCAGCACATCAAAAAGCTTATCCACCATGATCAAGTGGGCTTCATCCCTGGGATGCAAGGCTGGTTCAATATATGCAAATCAATAAATGTAATCCAGCATATAAACAGAGCCAAAGACAAAAACCACATGATTATCTCAATAGATGCAGAAAAGGCTTTTGACAAAATTCAACAACGCTTCATGCTAAAAACTCTCAGTAAATTAGGTATTGATGGGACGTATCTCAAAATAATAAGAGCTATCTATGACAAACCCACAGCCAATATCATACTGAATGGGCAAAAACTGGAAGCATTCTCTTTGAAAACTGGCACAAGACAGGGATGCCCTCTCTCACCACTCCTATTCAACATAGTGTTGGAAGTTCTGGCCAGGGCAGTTAGTAAGGAGAAGGAAATAAAGGGTATTCAATTAGGAAAAAAGGAAGTCAAATTGTCCCTGTTTGCAGATGACATGATTGTATATCTAGAAAACCCCATCATCTCAGCCCAAAATCTCCTTAAACTGATAAGCAACTTCAGCAAAGTCTCAGGATACAAAATCAATGTACAAAAATCACAAGCATTCTTATACACCAATAACAGACAAACAGAGAGCCAAATCATGAGTGAACTCCCATTCACAATTGCTTCAAAGAGAATAAAATACCTAGGAATCCAACTTACAAGGGACGTGAAGGACCTCTTCAAGGAGAACTACAAAACACTGCTCAAGGAAATAAAAGAGGATACGAAAAAAATGGAAGAACATTCCATGCTCGTGGGTCAGAAGAATCAATATCATGAAAATGGCCATACTTCCCAATGTAATTTATAGATTCAATGCCATCCCCATAAAGCTACCAATGACTTTCTTCACAGAATTGGAAAAAACTACTTTAAAGTTCATATGGAACCAAAAAAGAGCCCGCATCGCCAAGTCAATCCTAAGCCAAAAGAACAAAGCCGGAGGCATCACGCTACCTGACTTCAAACTATACTACAAGGCTACAGTAACCAAAACAGCATGGTACTGTTACCAAAACAGAGATATAGATCAATGGAACAGAACAGAGCCCTCAGAAATAATGCTGCATATCTACAACTATCTGATCTTTGACAAACCTGAGAAAAAAAAGCAATGGGGAAAGGATTCCCTATTTAATAAATGGTGCTGGGAAAACTGACTAGCCATATGTAGAAAGCTGAAACTGGATCCCTTCCTTACACCTTATACAAAAATTAATTCAAGATGGATTGAAGACCTACAACTTTTATAATAGGAGTTTTACAGCAAAGAAAAGAAAATTCAGAGATTGAGTAAATCCCTGGGGTTACATAGTTAGTAAACGTGAGAAAGGCAATTTGGACACAAGTGTCCCAATTCCTGTTTGAATACTTTTTCGTTACTCTGTCAGTTATAGTAGGCTAATTCCTGTGAAAAATAAGTTCGAAACCAAAGTGGCTTAAAACAAAAAATGTTCATGACGTGATCAAAATGTGAGATGGCAAGTTGGGAAGTGGAGGCTGTTCACTGCACCATCATTAGAGCACACAGGCTCTCTCTGTCTCTGAGATCTCCCAATGCCAGTGAAATCTCCTTTGGCATCTGCCCAGGATATGAGGAGTGAGAACACACCAAGGATACTGTGGGAGATTTTGACATTTTACATTTGGAAGTGACCCACATACCTCTTGTGCATGTTCCAATGGACAACACTCAAGTCACGTGGACTCACCTAGTTGCAATATAAGGCTGAGAAATGAAATCCTACTGTGTGCCCAAGGAGAAGGAAGGGGTTTGGTGAGTCTCTAATGATCACCATAGTGCTTCAATTCTTCGACCATTGTCATCCACATTTGTGTAATTCTTCATAGATTGTGAATTTTGCAAATATTTAATACTTTTGTATCCACACGTCGTTTTATTTTTCAAGCAAAATGCAAAATACTCATAGTTGTCATTTTCAGTCCCTTTAGTAACAATAGTAGTCAATACTTAAATGGCTCATACTACATCCTGAACACTTCCTCTACCCTTGACAATTATGAACTACTTGTAACTTCTCAACAACTATATAGGAAGTAGGAACTATTCATATCTCTTTTTGTAGATGAGAAAGCTAAAACACAGAGTTTAAGTAGTTTGCCTAACTGTCATATTTCTGGTAAGAAAAACAATGAATAACTGAATTTTTACTCAACTGAATTAGTATCACACTATTTCCTTTTCTCTATTTAATTTTTTCTTCTCATAAGCTATGTCCTTTCCCATCTTTTATATATTATTCCTTAATCAATTATTTTGTATTTTTACAGTTTTACAGAGGCTAATTCAAGTTTTTAAGAATACTTTGAAATATAATAATGTAGTTATTTTTAAGTTTTCTGCTGGTAAGTTATAGGTAGATTTTAGACTTGGTTCATTTATTAAGTAGGTTTTGCTTACCTTATAAAATCAGGTTATTTAAAAATCCGCGAAATCATTCTTTAAAAAAATTAACTGCTTAGTATTACACTGAAAAGTAACTATTACAGCTCCTTTTCTGCTGCTTTGATACAGTATACTTCCCAAATATCCTTTAGACAAAAATAAATAAATAAATAAACATTTAATATTCCAATGAATATTGTTAACAGAGTGGACTGAGGTTTAGCGAATTCTTAAATTTTTAAGCAGAGTGGCCTATTGAATGAACGGAATAGGCAAACCTTAGATAATCCTTTGTTTTTTCTAAGGCCAAATTTTCATCCTCAACCTCCTTAAAACTTTGTTGTTGTTGTTTTAATTAGAGTTACTTAGGAAGGTAAGCAACCTTGTCTCTGAAGGCCCAGAAATAAATTGTTACCAGAGTTACGAATGCACCTTGTAGTCTGACAGGCATAAATTGGAACTTCTGGTTTGTATTGTGTAAATTACTATTACCTCTTACCTTCATCTCTTGCACAGGGGAATTATTAATGTGTGTTTCTTAAAAATAAATGTATGCAAGAAAAACTTGCCACATAGCAGCACTCATTACATAAATACCAGCTATTGTCAAATAAAATGCACCAGTTGGACACTCTTCTCTCTTGGGAACTTGTTAAATATGTAGAATAATTGAAAAGTGGAGAGGTGCATAGATAATAGCAGAGAGAGGTGAGGAAAAATGAAAAATATCCATGAGGAAGAAAAATGAGGATAGCAAAGATTCTTAGGTGGCAGGAAGTCTAATTAGTATGTACTCAGAAGATAGGACCACAGTTAATTCTAGCGAAGTTGCACAGAGCAGAAAAAAAGGGTAGTGACAAAAAATATGTTTTTTCTGTCTCACAGTTTTAACTGGAGGGTTAACTCTACGTTACTCATGAATGCAATATGATAATATGTGCATCATGAATATGTTAATTGGATGATGTGAAAGTCATGCCTTAGAAGTGTGATTATTTTGCTTATTAACCTGGAGCAGGTCATGGTTATTTCTATGAAGTAAAGATCAAACTTTGTTTTGAAATCACTGCTCCCCATATTTGGCCCCAATCAGCCTCTTCTGCCTTGTCATATCTGTTAATCTGTTTGGGTTTCCTATTCTACAGCCAAGAAAAGCTACTTTCTCTTCTTCATGCTGGTTCTCTTCCCCTTGGTATACCTGTTCTGCTATTTTCTCATCACAGCATAACTTTCCCCCATCCACCCCCCAATATTCAAAAGCTGCCTGATTTTCAAGACCATACCTAAATGCCATGTTCCTGAAATCACCGCCTATACGTCTTGGCTAGGAATGAGGTTTCTTTCCTTTGAATCTCTGCAACATTTAATCTGCGTCTCTGGTAAGGTTAACACTGCTTTCTAGTTTATTCTTTTAGATTAGTATTTAACTCATAATAGATACGCAATATATTTCATGGTAAATAATATTTATTCAAGACTGTTGTCCATGGAACATTAGTGTACTGTAAGATTGATGTTTCTTGACAAAGAATTTTGTGATCGTTTAAATTTGGGAAATTGTAATTTTCCCCTACTATATGTTTCTTGGAGTCTTGAGACATTTATGGAAGGATTTAGAATATAAAACATTTGAGAGCTTGCTTAACTATGGAATTATGAATTTTTAATAATAAAGACACTTTCACCTTACAGTATATTGGTGGTCCATGGAATACGCCTAAGAAAACATTTGTGTCAAATGAGCATTGGTTTTAGCACTGCCTCAACTAGTGGAAGATTTTCAGTTGCTTCTGCTAAATCCCATCTTTCTTGGTTGTGGGACTTTTCCCTTCCCATCACTGCCATTTTTTGGGGGGTCCAGGACTCCATCCTGTGTCCTGGGTTTTTGGAAAGAGGCTTGTCCACATAAAAAAGATACGGTGATGGGAGCTGGGAGTTTAAAGTGATTAAAAAGCCTCATCAAATGACAAAGAGAAGGAAAGCTGATAGAACTTCTTTTCACAGGCAATGTACAGGGCTTATCTGCACGAAGACCTGAGGTTCCGTAGGAGAAGAACAGTTCCACTGACTCCCTGATGCTGGTTACTGACGCGCCTGCCAAGCGGGGCTCAGCGGTCTGTCCTTATCAAGCTCATTTTAGTTAATGTGGACCACTGCCTCATTCTTTCACCTGCTCTGTAGATCCTTTGTGTAGTTTCAGTTGGGAGATAACAAGCTGGATCATAGATTATTTATTTATTTATTTGGATCAAGATCTCCATGGATTTCATCATTAGAACTTAAGAGCAAAGCATTTCATTTTGTTGTTTCTCAGTTCTCCATGGAGTGCTTCTCCAAGGAAATTGGCATATGAAATCTAACTGGGTACACAGAGTGGGTGTGAGGACCCAGGAGGAGGGGTAGCAGAGGCAGATGGTTAATACAAAATATCTTACCACACTGATGTACATGGTTTATCTCTCTTAGCAGCTGATAAATTTCTGGAGGTTTATCCTTGTGTGGTGTGTAGTCTATAGTACTTAACAAAGAGAGTTAGTATCTAATGAATGTTTGTTGAAGAGAATTAAGTTTATAGGACATTAATTATAGGAAGAGTCTTCCAACAACTCTGGCCACAGTTTTGGTGGGACTATTAGTTTTCAGCCCAGAGACATGGTGGGGGTAAGGGTAAGTTTTCTAGTTGTAAAGGGTCCTACTTCATGGAGAACCAGTACTAAGTCCAGACAAAAAGACATGTGCCAATGAATCAGGCAGACAGACAGACAGACAGACAGACATCCTCAGCATGAGGCACATCCTGTCAAGAAGGACTGGAGTATAAATCATCATTTCAAATATCGTGTGCTATTAGAACATCAGTGCAGAATTCCTTGTCTTGTCTAAATTGTAATTTTGACTTAGTGTCCTTCAATCACTCAAGGAAAAAGGACATTAACTGCCTATTTAATCATCCATCAGGAGAAAAACACATTTAAAAGTGTGGCAAAATGGCTCTTCAGATGGGTCACATGATATTTGCAGTGATTTGAAATTGTTTGCTTCTGACTGATTATGCCCTCTTTTGATAAAGTTACTGCTGGTGGCAATGGCTTTAAGCATGGGCACAATTATGAGGAATGTTTTATTCTTGGTTCATTCCACATAGCTCATTCCACATCTTTGAAGACAATACTTCTGCAAGTCTGCCTACTTGTGGCATTTCTCAATGCGGTGAAACTTAATTTTTAATCACAAACCTTTCCATTTATCTGGTGTTTAACATTTTTTACGTACTTTAACACCTGTATGTCACATCAAACTCCTAAGAGCCCTGAGAGCTAAAGACAGCCAGAATTATCTTTCCAATTAGATATTAAGTACATGTGGCAAACAGCATTTGTCACAGGATTTGTGAAAAGACTTATTCTGTGACCCCACGGTGCGTTTTTCCCTTGAATTTCTACTTGTCCCTGGAATATCTCCCACTTGACGCTAGTCTCTTTCTCTACTCAGCTTGCAATTACACAGTTATATGGCTATTTGGCTGCCAACCACATTCTAGATATTCTTCCCACAGAAATGGTTGGGATGAGCATTCTTTCATGCTTTGGAATTTGTCTAAAACTTGTTTTTCTCTCAGTCTCTTTTACCAAAAAAAAAAAATCAGTTTTCATTTTAAATAGTAGCATCTGTCATTAGGATGCAATTTTCCAGAACTGCTGGCAGCTGAAAACCAGTAGCAGATAAAACTCGGTGTGTTTTCCTATGTGGAGCAACAGCATTTGGCTATATTGTACCCTGCTACCGTGCTCTAAACATAGACAATTCTCAAATTTTCCAGAACTGCTGGCAGCTGAAAACCAGTAGCAGATAAAACTCGGTGTGTTTTCCTATGTAGAGCGACAGCATTTGGCTATATTGTACCCTGCTACCGTGCTCTAAACATAGACAATTCTCAATAAATAGGATAGATGAAGATATCGCCATTTCGAAGTTATTAGAGCCTCACTTGGCTCTAAGCTTGATTTTATTTGTTATTGAATTGTGTGGAACATAGTAGGCATTCAATACATGCTTCAGGAATGAATGATGCTAATAACTATCCAAATGTTGGCTGCAACAACAAATAAGTGATGATTTAAATTGGCCTAATTCTAGTCTATTTTTATAAAAATTTGAAAAGTTGGCTTGGGGATATCGGGGGTTGTTCTGCATTTGTGGATCCAATGCAAATATGTTTTACCTATTGTGTATGTTCTAGTTCAAGCATTTCTCTTTTCAAAGCCCCTGATCTTGACCTTTGCTTATTCATTTTTTTGGGGAAAGGCGATTAGTGGGTGGTAGTTTTATGCCTTATTTCTTATCTCTATCTTCCTTTCAGAATTGCTTCTCATACCTTTCATGTATAAATTGCCTTTTCCCCAACTATCTCCTATTTCTTGAGCAGTATGTTTTCTCTTTGCCTTGTAGCACACAAAAACATTTAGAAAACGTGCTCCTGCCTCAAATTCATTTTACTCTGTGCTAAGGTATCAGTCAACCTGAGATCACTTATTTTCACTTGGTGATAAACCCTGGGATATATACAGGTGTCTCTCATAGCACATACTGTGCTAAATAACATTAAACATGTTTGTCTCTCCACCAGACTGTAAAATCTGTGACGAAAGGAGACATGACTTATTCATCTGCATATCCATACCTAAAATCAGAGCAACTGCTACAAATTTCGACACAGTAGTAAGCATTTGTGGAATTGTATCTAGTCTTCTCCAGTGGGCTGTGGGGCACTTGGCCTTTGCAAATCAATGCTGACTTTAAGAACATCTCAACAGATGCATAAAGAGGTATACAGCATGTATTTCTGTTTTGTCAAATGCTTCTCAATTAAAATATTGCTTTATACTGCAAAACATGAAGAAAAAGGGATTGAATCGTGACAATCATCTGTCAAATTTCTAGATGTCTTAAAGTACTATTGTGAAAATTTTATCCATCATTTTTAATATTCCATTTTAGAGTTAGAGGCACAATTACAAAACCATTTTTTTTCTGATACAGCAATTTTGGGGGGCTTCCCTTAAAAACTCAAATATTTTATAGGAGGATAAAAAATAGCCTTATGAAACTACCCAACAAAATTAACTGCTTGCAATATTATATAGAATGTTTAAAAGTGTTGTTGGTACATTCAACCCTAAAAGTTACATTATTAGTAGTAAAAATGACAATGGTAAGCCCAAGTGATAATTTTGCTAGGTTCATGTAATAGTTTTACCATTAGCAATATATATATGTATATATTTTATACATATATAATGTATAAAATTTCAATATGTATAAAATTTCAAAATTTGTTTAGAGTCACACAGATCTGAATCTGAAGATTACCTTTCAGATATTGAGCAAATTTTGGAATAAGATAATAAAAGAGATTTTCCTACATCCAGTGCTGGAGACAGTGTGAACACGGATGTCTTATTTTGCTAAGGCTGTCATAACAAATACCATGACTGCAAGTCTTGAACAACAGAAATTTATTTGCTCACAGTTCTGGAGGCTAGAAGTCCTAGAGCAGGTTGTTGTCAGGGATGTAGCTCTTCTGCAGCCTCTCTCCTTGGCTTGTAGATGACCATCCTTCTCTAGTGTTTTCACATGATCTCCCCTTTGTGTCTGCATCCTAATGCCTTCTCGTAAAGACACCAGTCATATTGGATTAGAGCCCACTCTAATGCCTTCATTTTATCTCTTTAAAGACCAGATCTTCAAATACAGCCACATTCTGAAGTATTGAGGGTTAAGATTTCAACACACGAATTTGGGAGGGGCACAATTCAGTCCATGACAAGGGCTATGAGATACCTCCAGGCTGTGCATCTTGTGTGTAAATGAAGAGTTCTCAGCCAAGTTATCTGTGCTATCTCATAGTGGAATGCCCATTGTAAAGAGGAACCGAAAAGAGAAACATGGGGATCCTGTATGATTTTTAACCCAAGCTGGGTGAGTTTCTGTCTCTCAGTACGTCATTACAGAATAAAACACTTTAATATGAAAAAAGGAAACAGTAACTTTTTAAGTGGGCAGATTGCTGTTCTTTGAGTTCCATCTTTAACCCAAACTTCAATCATTCTCAAAATGAAATTCAAGTTCTATCTACAAGCTAATCACAACTTTAAATTCTTTGTGTTAACTGGAAGTGTTTTGATCATCATTTTTTTTGCCGCTAAATATAATTACCAAACTTAGTTTTCAAAGTAAAATTTTCTTTAATCTTGATCATTATACAGATTCGTGAACTTTTTTTTGAGAACTGTCATTTTGTGTCAATATCACTATTAATTGTACCTTCTTCTTCTTTTATCTACTATAGTCTTCTGACCTACTTAGTTTGTGTTCCTTAATGATATATTCAAAGTTATAGGAATCAGTTAATCAACACATTTGGTGCGTTCTACTCTGTGCTGGAAAACTATGCACAAAAAGAGAATGTGGATGCCACTGCTCTGCTGAGCACAGGCATTGGTGTCTTCTAATACAGCGCTATTATGATACTCATTTTCTTTTTCTTTTCTTTTTTTTTTTTTTTTTTGAGACGGAGGCTCGCTCTGTCGCCCAGGCTGGAGTGCAGCAGCACGACCTCGGCTCACTGCAAGCTCCACCTCCCAGGTTCACACCATTCTCCTGCCTCAGCCTCCCCAGTAGCTGGGACTACAGGCGCCCACCACCACGCCCAGCTAATTTTTTGTATTTTTAGTAGAGACGGTCGGGGTTTCACTGTGTTAGCCAGGATGGTCTCGATCTCCTGACCTCGTGATCCACCCGCCTCAGCCTCCCAAAGTGCGGGAATAACAGGCGTGAGCCACCTCGCCTAACCCATGATACTCATTTTCTAGATGAGAGAACAGAGTCATATGGTATAAGTGACAAATGTAAGATCAGGCCATTAGTATGTCCCATGAGCTGATACTCAAACCCACCTTTCACTAACACCAACACCTCTGCTTTCTAATACACTGTGGAATATTTTTCTCCAAATGCTAGTAGCAATTATGGTAGTTCCTGATTTTGCTGCTGTGATCCCTAGATACTAAGACTCTGAAGTATACATCATTAACACTGTTTTACAGATGAAGGATTTCCACTTTTGGAAGGTGAGCAACCTGCTTCATAATGAAATAAATCTTGAAAGACAGAAGATGAAATCCCAAGACTTTGGGGATGTTTCTCAGTGAGTGTAAGACACTAACCTCACTTTTAAGGAGTTGTAAATTAACTGAATAGTTGTAAAACTATAAAACTGAATTATCTATATTTACAGCCAAAGGATGTTTTGGGAATAAGGAACATATTCAAAGAGGACATAATCCTTAGGCAAAATTTTATGATTAGTTTTGTATTTTTTTCTCCCGAGCCTACCTTAAGTAATCTTAAATTTTAGTCTCCTCTAAATCACTAATCCAGTCACTTTGAACTAAATCATTTCTTTGTAATTCATACCATGAATCATCTTTAACCTAAAATCCCAATATCCAAAGTGTTTGGAAGCATCAGTCATTACTGGGATTTAAAAATTAAAGGAAACATACTAAATGTTCTAGCAAAATAAGGGAGAGCCTGGGGAATCTGTGCCTTGGGAGAGATTTGGGAAAAGAGTAGAAATAATGAAGGTGGAATGGACAAAATTAGATGGAGAGAGTTAAAAAAGACTACAGTGGATGGCAATTAAAGCAAAATATAACAAATAATTCACACTAATGGAGAGAACATGAGACAGAATTAATGCAACCTGAGAATGTCAGACTAGGGGGTGGAGTGGGAAGGCAGGTGGCAGGAGGAGAAAAGAAAGCTATTGAGAAAGCGTTTATTGACACAACTCAGTATTCCATGCAACTGAATGACTTTTCCAGGTAGCCCCTGTGAGTACAGCCAGAGCAAGGCCTCGACTACATGACTGCAGAATAGGCATTGCACAAGAAAGAAGAGAAAACTATTACAAGACTCTTCAGGGAGGAGAGTTTATACACAGAGGCAAATATATCCATAACAGACTTTTGATAATTTATGTAAATAAAATATTTTAAAAATGAAAGAGCAGATGCTAACACAGATTAATAAATCTCTATAGTTTTAATAGGCAAATTATTTCATAATCAATGCTAGACAAAGGTTCAACCTTTCCACCCCCAAATACCATAGATCACGGTACTTTTCACTATATTAGCTGCTGCATAGATAAATTCTATTAAAAGTGAATCTATCTTGTAGGCACTATTATGGGGTTTTAAAATATCATCATATCGATAAAAATATGAGATGTTCAATGGCAACATGAGATTCAAATATTTGTATGATAAAGTATCTAACAGAGCTTAGTAATAGGGGTTGCTGCTGCCAGTGTTGTGTCTGACATAAAGGATGCTTTGGATGACCTGTTTTTTACTTGAAATGTAAGAGTTAAAATTGAAGGTAGAAGAGGAGTTCATACTTCAAAAGAACATCAGAGACATATTCATCTACTTATTCAGAATTATGTTTTCTGCATATTTTCTTAAAAATGCAGTTCTAAAAATAAAAGTGTACATTCTTCCAGCAATGTTATTTCATCTCCCCTCAGTGTTGTTTTAAATTTGTCCAAAAGTAAGATCATTTGATTAAATTCATAGATCTAAAGACCTATAAGTTTATAATGGAAATAACAGTCTCATAAACTACATTAATGATAACAGCTCCACCTTATTGAACGGTGAGTTTATGTTAAGAACTCTTCGCACATTATATTTTAAAACTCTTACATCAATATTTGGAGGTTGAAATTATCGTCTCTATTATTCAAATTAGAAATGTGATGCTTAAGAATGTTAAAATAATTTGCTTGTGGTGACACAAATAGCAAGTGGAAGAACTTGGATTGCAACTAGGAAGTCAATTCTATATTCCATGTGCTAAATCGTAATATTCTACAGTCTTCACTGAGTAGCATGAATATATTTCCTGAACATATTTTTATACCTCCTCCATTATTTTTAAATAAAGAATTTAGGTGACTAGAATCATCTAGGGTATTAGTAATGAACAATCTCAGTTTATGAACAACGAAAAAAGAACAATGACAGCAAACTTAAGTTCAAAGGCCATGTTACACTGAGTGTGTGTAATAAATCTCTCATATTTTAATAAAGATAAAAATTTTCTAATAGAAAATAAGTTTCTTCCCATGCTCTTTAAGTGTTAAACAGTTAGAAAGCATAAGCATGAAGGGTGATATAGTTTGTATGTTTGTCCCTGCCCAAGTCTCATGTTGAATTGTAATCCCCGGTACTGAAGGGGGGACCTGGTGGGAGGTGATTTGATCATGGGAGTGTGTTTCTTATAAATGGTTTAGCATTATCCCCTCGGCGCTGTCCTCGTGGGTTGTGGGCTCTGGACATTTAAAAGTTTGCGGCACCTGCGCCTCCACACTCTCTGTCCCCCCCATTCTCACCATGTGACATGATTGTTCCCCCTTTGGCTTCTGCCGTGATTGTAAGATTTCTGAGGGCTCCCAAGAAGCCTAATAGATGCCAGCAGCATGCTTCCTCTACAGCCTATGGGACTATAAGCCAATTAAACCTCTTCTCCTTATAAATTACCCGGTCTCAAGTATTTCTTTGGAGCAGTGTGAGAACAGCCAAATACCAAGGGGCAGCCACCTGTGGGGAATATACGTTTTGTTGATCCTGGCCTTAACCCCAATACTAGCAGTAGCTCTGGTTTGACAAAGGCTTGTCAACATTGTTACTTCATCCTTTCTATGAGCAATGGTCACCCAGGTCTAAAGAGAACAGTTTGCAGCAGTAGTTTTTCTTTGATAAAAAATCTCTCCAACTTGTATTGGAGACCGTTATTTGAAGTGAAGTAACTCAGGAATGGAAAACCAATCATTGTATGTTCTCACTCATAAGTGGGAGCTAAGCTATGAGGATGCAAAGGCATAAGAATGATACAATAGACTTTGGGAATTTGGAATTGGGGGAAGGGTGGGAGGAGGGTAAGGGATAAAAGGCTAGACATTGGGTACAGTAGACAGTGCTAGGGTGACAGGTGCACCAAAATCTCAGAAATCACCATTAAAGAACATATTCATATAACCAAACACCACCTGTTCCTCGAAAACCTATTGAAATAAAAAAACATAAACGTGGAAGGGGGAGACAGAGGAGTAAGAGTCAGATTGGTGTGATGGAGAAAAACTTGGCTGGCCATTGCTGGCTTTGAAGATGGAGGAAGTGGCCTGGAGGAATTGAAGGGGCTTCTAGAAGCTGGAAAAGCAAGAAAAAGAATTCTCCCCTGGAGTCCTTAGAAAGGAATGCAAACCCGCCAATACACTGATTTTAGCTCAGTGAGACCTATTTTAGACTTCTAACACTTGGAACTGTAAGATAATAAATGTGTGCTCTTTAAGAAAAAGAAAACAAGAAACAAAAAATATTGACAGCAATCTCACGATTTATCAAGGAAACCATGATGTATGATAAACTAATGAAAACAGTAGAGGCCCTTTTTCCTTCTTGCCATCACCTAGTGCTAGGTATAATAGTGCCTCATTACATTCTTATTCATTTGATTTATAAGGTATCTTTAATACATTAACAGGAAAAAGAGCCAAGTTAATTTAATAACTCACTTGTATTTTACAAGGCAATTAGAAAAAAAAAGTGAAATTAAACTAGTATTCTAGAAGACTGCAAAAAAAGACAAAAATGGCTCCAGTATTTCTAATTTCTCCCATTAGCAACCATTCTGTACACAGAAGTTTGAAAATTCTTGGTTTTGTTTTATTTTTTGCTTGTTATACTCCTGATGTTTCTGAAATCCAAATGCCATGTGAGGAACACTAAACTAACTTCTAGATGTTGGTGAAATGAGGGTTCCAATTTCTTCCATCACTCCACCTGAATGCCAGACCTGTGAGTGAGGCCATCTCAGAACCCAGCCCGAGCCCAGGTGAGATCAGGTTGGCTTTTGTCACATCTTAAGGCATCATTCAGTGTTCAGTTGCTTTTTAATAGCAGGATTAGTAATGTAGATACACATCTGTTTTTTATTTTCCATCAACACATAACTCTCAGGAATATGCTATCCTCAGTCAAATGAATAAGTCGGGATTTTACTAATACATTGAAAGAGGCCAGGAAAAATGAGCCAGAGTCATGGCCAAATGAACTGAAATGAGCATGTTTCAATGGTTAACAATATGTTTATTCATATGCATTCCTAGCTCAATGAGAATAAAAGTCTAGCTGCTTACTGGAAGGATGATATTCTTTCACGGCGTTCTACTCTGTTAATTTGTACTGGAAATCACGAATGCTGTAGGAGGCAAACTGTATTTAATTAATCAACAAACACTTGTTGAGTCCCGAGTGTTCTCTGGGTGCCATGTGTGATCCTGTGACTACAGACTATAAGAAACACGAGCACAGAGCTCTTGTGTCATTGTCCATTGCTGTATCACTTGCCATTTGGGAAGCAAAACCAGTCTCCTCTAACCCCAGATAATGCGTAGTAGCTACTGGCCTAGCTAACCTGGGAGATTAGGAAACATACACTTGGCCAGGAACTGATATGCTTGGTCTTAATCCCAAATCTTTCAATAAGCAATTGTGTGATTCTGTATTTGGCATCTGATTTTTCTGTGCTTGCATTTCTTTCACTTACAGTTTTGGAAGTAAGAACTTGCCTTTCTTTTCTCAGAATGGATGTAAGAATGAAATTTGACATTTTACAACTGAATAGCCCAATAGAGCTGGTTTTTCTCTTTTAGCTTTAGACATCAGGAAAGTAAACTATAGAAATTGTGAATGCTTGGCATCCTTCATATAAGATTTGTTTTTTTCTCCTTTCTTTTACTTAGCATTTTATTTCATTCATATTTTTCCTAGTCTTGGCTTCATTATATTTTAGGCATTCTCTTTTTTTTAGACAAAATAAATTTATGTATTTATATTTAGCCAGTAGTCTTGGCATTAGATTATGAGGTAGATATCTCTGCCTGCATTCATATTTTTTTATTTAATTGTTTTTGGGGTACAGGGGTTTTCTGTTTACATGGATAAGTTCTTTAGCGGTGATTTTAGAGATTTAGGTGCACCTGTCCCCTGAGCAGTGTACACTGCACCCAGTTATACCTGATATTTAGTCATTTAGCCCTCACCTCCCCTCCCACCCTTCCCACCTTTCTTCTTCTTCCATAGTCCCCAAAGTCCATTACATTATTCTTATGCCTTTACATCCCCATAGCTTAGCTCCCACTTATAAGTGAGAATATACACTACTTTGTTTTCTATTCCTGAGTTATTTCACTTAGAATAATGGCCTCCAGCTCCATCCAACTTGCTGCAAATGCCATTATTTCATTCTGTTTTATGGCTGAGTAGTGTTTTATGGTGTATATATACCATATTTTCTTTATCCACCTGTTGGCTGATAGGCATTCAATTTGGTTCCATATTTTTGCAAATGCTAATTGTGCTTCTATAAGCATATGTGTGTGTCTTTTTCATATAATGGCTTATTTTCCTTTGGGTAGATACCTAGTAGTGGGATTGCTAGATCAAATGGCATTCATTTTATTATTTATTTATTTTTATTTCATTATATGCATTACTTATAAATGACTCCAAGTCTTTTATTTAAAAAGATACACTTTTTAAAACAAACATGCATATAAACACACATACTTACATACTTGTTGCAGGACAGAAAATGTGTTACATGCCTATTATAGCTTTAGAACACCTTGAGCTATCTGGTCAATGTTTGGATTTTGATGATCATTATGTATATTACTGACTCAGTTTATTTGCTCTCAGCATATACACTATGGACTGTTAAGATCTCTGGTGTCTCTTTGAATTCACCCGAGGAAAGAACATTTCCAGTACCAACTGTGACATTAGAAAAACTTTGAGAAACAGTCATATCCAATGATGCAAACAACTTGTTTCATGATCTCTATAATCTAATGTGACCCTAGTCTAGGTCACATAATTATTCCTCAGGTCTTATTAATTCATTTCACTAACTAAACCTGTTAGTTTATAGATAGCATAGATAGATAGATAGATAGATAGATAGATAGATAGATAGATAGACAGACAGACAGACAGACAGATAGATAGATAGATGATACATAGATAGATACTTAGATAGATAGGATAGATAGATGGATAGATAGATAGACAGACAGACAGAGAGATATGATAGATAGATAGATAGATAGATAGATAGATAGACAGACAGACAGACAGATAGGTAAAGATAGGTGATAGATAGGTAAATGGTAGATAAGGTGTTCAAATGGCTCAGAGTGGATTCAATGTAATCAGTTACAACAAATGTACTAAAGGACCATGATTTTTTGGCATCTGAATATTATCTGAGGAAACCTAAGATATCTACCAGATGTTGGCCACATGGGACCCCAATAGCTCCCATTGCCCCAGCCAATGGCCAGACCTATGAGTGAGGCACATCACCCATTATCAAGAGCACAGTGGGCTACTGATCCTCCTCTACATTGGCACTTCTGGTTTAATTTGGAAGCCAAAATAAATCATTTCCTAGATCTTCATGTTTATGTGTATAGATGAATGCATCACCCACAAAATATACAGGTAAGATTGGCTTCATTTCAGACATATGGGATTGAGTACACAAACCTAGGTAACCTGGGTCACACTTGCAGTCACACTGGCATCAGAAAGATAAGCAAGTACTGACTTAAGACAGCTGCTAGTTCGTGTCCTTGCTCCAGTCTAGCCCTTTGCCTCAATCTTCTTTGAGACACCAGTTTCTGATTTTCTCACTTTCATACCCTTTTCAATACGAATGCATACAATTCCACCACATCCGCATCGCACTGGGTTTTGAAATTGATTTCTCTCATTGTTTCATTCATATTACTGCATTTTTTACTTTTGTAATTAAATGTTTTAATGTACTTGATAATTTTTTGAATCCGTTTGAAAAACTTGGCACATTTTGTATATTTCCTCACCATTTTATATATTTGTATTTAGCAACAATTCAGTCTTTGTAAAGTTTCTTAAATTATGTTTCTCATTAATGATTGACCACACCACTTAAAATCCAAAGGACAAATTATGTTGCAGGATTTTTTCCCCTTTCATTGAGAAACTCATTTATTTTTAAGAGAACATTTTCATTAATCTTATCTAACATGTTTCTTTGTGTGTGTATATTTCCTGTGGCTATAGCTAAACTCTGCCCTCCTAGGTAAAGCTCACAAAATTATATCTGACTATGCTGATGCAGCTACTGGTTGGCATGCTGCAACCTGCTTTGTTAATGAATATTTTTTAAGCTGCTTTGAAGTCTCGAATATGAAAATAGAATAAAAATGTGATTACTGTCACTGTAGCGTTGCCAAATTTGTTAATGAGGCAATATTCTTTGTCTTGGGCCAAATTTGGTGGTTGTTTTGCAAACAGCACAAAGCAATGATTAACACGTAAGCTAAGCTTCTCAACTTTATGTTGTGGATGTCTTTTATGCAGATTTATTTAACATTTTCCCCATAGTGTTTGAAAAGAATCAAATTTCACAGCCTCAATTATTTCCCTTATTCAGTACAGATTCTAAGAGTAGCTAAAATGGAGGTGAAAAAGCTCCACAGGGAATAAGTATAATCTCTTATAACATATGTTGTCATAAAACGCTTTACGTGGTAGCATTTGTCATCTAAACCAGGATTGCTAAAATCCTACAATCCCATTATGTACAATCATCTTAGTCTTTATTAGTGCTAAATTCTCTAAATTACTGAGCAGGTTCTCCTGCCTAATTCAAAAGTTCCCAGAGTGTATTTAATCCAGCCTTGAGGGAAGCTCATTGACAGCACAGGGAACCGCCTGTCAGTGAGAGGAAGTGGTCACTGTCTTCCACAGCATTTTACATAAGATGACTTAGAAGTCCTGTTGAGTTTGTCACCCTCTTAAATCAATTCTCAATCACATTTTCTGTTTTTTTTCTTTCAATTTTCTGTCAAGTATTTCAATCACCACAAAGACACCAAGACCCCCACCACGATGAAGGCTTACTTGACAATATTTGAATCCTATTTGATTTCTTTTTCCTCATTACAATTGCAGCTTTCCCATTTGCACTTTGAAGTCATTCGAAAATTGTGCACTGTTTGCTTTTGCAGTGAAAGAAAAGGCACGTTGCAAATTTAAAGATATTAATTTTCATTATTCTCAAGTCCTGAAATTTCTTGGAGACTACTAAGTGAAAGTTTTAAAAGAGTTGAGATAAATTGGTCCAATAGGTTTATAATATAGTGCTAAAGGGAAATTAGGATATTCATGAGATGATAATAGGAGTGATGATAGTGACAGATGATTGAGGAGAAAACTAGTGAAATAACAAAAACATGAATCATAGCTAGACAGTAAATTCCTTGAGGGTAGGGACTATGTCTTATAAAATATTTCGCACTCATGCCCTACCTGACAGTAGTGTTTAATAAATATATGCTAATTTCAGAGAAGAAGTAGGGAGGGAGACAAATGTAGAAAAAAAATGAAAAAAAAAAAAGAATTTACCTGTGAAGTCATCTACTATTTGAATCTTCTTTCAAATCCAAAGGATATAAATAAGTCAGTAGTCTAGATGAAAAACTTATTTGCCAAACTGTCACTAACTCCTAGAAAAGATAATCACACACCTTTCTCTTAAATCCCATACCTTTCACATGAAAATTTCAGGTATATATGTTACAAATAAAGGGGGCCAAGTATATTTTGTCTTGTAAATGAATATATAATCTGCAATCCCATGTTTATTGTAGCACTACTTACAATAGCCAAGATATGGAATCAGTCTAAGTGTTCATCAACAGATGAATGGATAAAGAAAATGTGGCATATATACACAATGGAATACCATTCAGCCACAAAAAAAGAATGAAATCCTTTCATTTGCAGCAACATGGATGGAACTGGAGGTCATTATGTTAAGTGAAGTAAGCCAGGCACATAAGGATGGATAGCTCATGTTCTCACTCATATATGGCAACTAAAAAAATGGATCTCATGCAGCTGGAGAGTAGAATGTTAGACACTGGAGTCTAGAAAGTGTGTGAAGGGCTAAGGATGATGAAGAGGTGGTTAATAGGCATAAACGTGCAACTGTTAGACTGAAGAAATAAGTTTTAGTGTTCTATAGCACAGTAGAGAGACTATTATTAGGAATAACTTCATGAATATTTCAAAATAGTTAGAAGAGACTACTTGAAATTTCCCAACACAAAGAAATGATAAATGTTTGAGGTGATAGATACCCTAAATACCTGGTTTGATTATTACACTTTGTATGCATGTATCAGAATATATGTGCCCCATAACTATGTACAGTTATTATGTATCAATAAAATATAAATGAATCTATTAAAAAACATGAGTGTATAATGGATCTTTAGATTGTGTCTAAGAGGAGATGAGCTCAACTGTCTTAAATAAATTCAGCTAATCAATCCGTTTGAGTGACTTTTTTCACACTTGGCAAATGTTTGACTAAATCATTTTAAAATCATCTTGATGTTTCCTATTCTGAAGTCTTTATTGATTAATTTCTTAAGGGCTTTTATTTCTTCTTTTCTTGTTATTAAAGTTTTTTTTGGTAATGTCATTTCCATTTTAATTTATCATCTGGACATAAGTAGAGAGTGGGGCACTCTGATTCCCAGCAGCCTTCTTTCTCCAGATCTTTGACTATTCCAGTATTAAAAATGGCCAAAGAGACATTGGAGTTGTAACATTTCTCTCCTTAAATATTCACCTTTGGTCACTGCTGCTAGCATCTAGTGGGTAGAGGCCAGGAATGGTTCTAAACATCATATGGTGTGCAGAAGAGCCCCCCACAAAAAGAATTTTCCCATGTTAACGGGGACAGCTTCATGGCTTCATGACTCCACAGGGTCCCACCCACACTCAAAGATGCCACACTAGATTTATCGTGATGCTATTGTCATCTTGACATTTCATAAAAATTATTATCATGGAACTTATGATTTGTAAGTGAAATCCTTTGGGACAATAAAGCATGCCTGTATGCCATAGAGACAGGGGCATTGTGTGTGTCCGCCGTTCACTGTTGGCCATAAACAATGAGCACAGAATTCCAGCGGATCTATGGTCTGTGGGATTTCTACAAGGCTCACAGTGAGTTCAATGTCACTATGTTACATCTGTGATTGAGTAAGCAGGACCGGAGGCCTCAAGTATCTATGTTTTCTGCTTGAAATGGCTTCCAATGGAGAAAGTAGGCCAAGGCTTTCGAAGAAACACACATGCTTAGGAACCTTATGTATCCTTTCTTACTTGTTACTTCTCTGTGTTAGCCAACTACTTACTATGAAAATAATAATATTGAAGGAAAGTGGAAGAAAGATAGGATAAGCCTTGTTTCCTTTTCCTTTTTCTTCTTTCTTAATCAGAGTGAATTTAGAATATGCACACATCAGGAAGTTAAATGAAAGCAGTTGAATTAGTTTTGTGCAGTGTTTCTACTGTTCTGGTAAGAACAAAATACATATACATACACAAGCTATGAAATACTAATTGTATAATTTTGGCGATTCTGCATGCAAGTTAAATAGTCATATATTTGCATTTAAAGCTGGCATTGTATAATATAAAGATGAGTGATAACATTCATGCTAGTAATTTAACATTTTTTAAAACTTAGAATTATATTTGAATAGCAAATTAACCTGATGACAAGTCAAGAGAGAGACTGCAGAGGAAAGGAAAAGTCGTGACACTTTAGTACCTTTAGGGTCATATTTTTCCTTCATTTTGAACAAGATACCCTACACTTTCATTTCGCAATGGGTCTTGTGAATTATGTAGCTGATCATGACTCCAAATGTCAATAGTTCCAAGATTAAGAATTCCTGGTGTAGAAGGTATCAGGGAAGATGGAGAAAAATGAACAGATACAAGATTTGTCTTGGAAGCAGAGTTAGTTGGACTTTCCTGTGGATTACATGAGGACATTGAGCAAAGATGAGAAATTGGAGACAGCTGGTTTAGGGCTTGAGTAGCTGGTAAAGTAGGGAGAAAAATCTTGTCATGGCATATGTCATCAAATTTAATCCTTACAACAATGATAGGAATTATGCATACGTCATTTTTCTCATTTTGTAAAAGAAGGATGAAACTGATTGTCCAAAATCCCCAAGTTAGTAAAAGGCAGGGCCAGAGTTCAGATCCAAAGCTTTTGGAATTCACAGAGAGCTTGTCCAATTTGCTACTCTGCCTCCCATGATTAGAGGGAAGCTGCAGGCTGAATGAGGTCCACCTACAAATTATGGGAAAAATTGTGAATGGAAGTCCACCGAATAGAACAAAGAACTTTATTCCCCATCTGCTCTGCTCTGTGGCTTTTCCTGCTCTGCTGGTGATGCCATTATAAATATCGTTTTCACTATCTCTTGTCAATTCATCTGTCTCCCAATATTGCATAATATCTTAGAGGATCGTTATAGAGACTGAGAAATATGAGTGTATATAACAGAAGGTATTTGCTGTGCCTTTTCATTATACTATATTCTCTATTTTATATCATTCATATTTTTCTTTATAAAGTGCTTGTCAAATATTTGAACAGTCATTTACTTTATCCGTAGTTTGCAAGAATACTGAATATACTATCAAAACTCTAAAAAATGACCAAGGCATTCCACTCTATAAAAATCCAAAGTACAGAAATATATTGGAATGTCTGAAAACTCATTCTAAAGTGTCACATTCCACTAAACATACAGTGCTGCTGAAATTTAGGGCTCTAAAGATGCCCTTGTCTATTTGTTATTATTTTTATATATTTGGAAATAATTGATATTCTAATTAAAGTATCTCTCTAAATTATACATGACTGTTTTCTATTAGCAACAATAAAATAGCATGTGACATAGAAGTATGTTTATGCCAAGGATTTTAGTAATTCAATTGTGAAATAATGAATGTTTCATTATTTAACTTATGCTAATTTCTTAACTGTCTCCACCTGCTTGTTTAGATAACCAAAGCCTGAATTTTTCTCTGAATATTTGGATCAAGTTCTAGTAAGCTGAACTGCCTTACTTCTTTTCTTCTTCTCAAAATTTGTTATTTTTCATCAAGCACACTGCTGAGAATTTGGGCCGAACTTATTAGTTTCTCAACAGAGCTTTCACTGTCCCAGGAGGCAGAGTAAGATTTATTCCAAGTCAGAGCCAAAATGAAGATATTGGTTTTAGTTCTGCAATAAGTTGAAGTAAGAAAAAAAGTATCTAGCAGCTTACATTACGGCACACACTATGCTAGGTTGTAATTTATTCATTTGTGGTCTGCTGTCCCAAATGGCTATGAGGTCTTTGTGAGTAGAAACTACATCAAATATTTCTCCCTATGCCCACCCAACTTTATAATGCCCTTCCCATTATGGGATTCAATACATATCTGATGAATGAATGTACCTTGAAGAAAAGCATTATATCATTGGCACAGATAACTCTCAAACCTTTGATAGCTACTTCTTCTGATTCAGGGTCATTGAGTGTACAAGTAAAGGCAAGCTACAAAATTCCAACTTATATCACAAAGCTACCCTTTTAGCATGGAAGAATACAACAACATCCAGATGACAGAATAATTGTGGCATAAGGTTTTTGTTTTGGTTGCCATTGTTGTTTCATAAAGAGGTAACATTGGGAACTGTTGAACCTGGCATATACCTGAACAGCAAAGAAACCACTTGCCTTCTCTCTAGTAGTATAAGGGAGATGTTAGGAATAGGTGGCTAAATACAAAATGTCCAAGTTCAAAAGCCTGCTCCTCTATTCACAAGCTTTAGACACAAGTTACAATAATAAGCTTCAATTTCCTTGTCTGTAAAATCCAGGCAGTAATATAATCTATACCAGCAGTCCCCAACCTTTTTGGCACCAGGGACTGGTTTCATGGAAGACAACTTTTTCCATGGACCAGGGGTTGGGGAGATGGTTTTGGGATGATTCTAGTACATTACATTTATTGTGCACTTTATACTATTATTATTACATTGTAATATATAATAATGAAATAAATATATAACTCACCATAATGTAGAGTCAGTGGGAGCCCTGAGCTTGTTTTCCTGCAACTAGATGGTCCCATCTGTGGGTGATGGTAGACAGTGACACCCGAAATGTGTTGCTTATGTTGCTTATGTCCAGTCTACTCCGTAATCTCATTTTGGTTGCTGTCACTGCAGAAAACCCTGCTTCACCAAGATAGGATGTTGGAAATGGAAGCAGGCTTTTGGATGCTTTTGTCACACCTATTTGACCTTGATGATTAGGATTTGAAGTTGTCTCAAACATACCTTTTAAGGCCACCATCATTTGTGATCTCGAGCAGTTGATCCTCTTCTAGCACAGACAAAGTCGATTCACTTGGCTTATTCACAAATGGATCACGGATCCATTCCTTCCCAGTCTGGGGGTGTTCTGTGGTTGGGAAGTAATGCTCAAATTCTTTTGTAAGCTGAATTAGGTGATCATGCACAAGCTGGGAGAAAGAAGCCTCTGGCTCCATCTCTTCCAAAATCTCTGCTAATGTTTCAAACATGCCAGAAATCCTGATGTTCACTTGTTGCCCCATAATTCCAGTTTGTCTTTGAATGCAGCCACTTTATCTGCCAACTTGAACACAGTGGTCATTCTCCACTGAAGCGACAGATTGAGTTCGTTGAGCAGGTTGAATATGTCACATAAGTAAGCAAGTTTTGTATCCCATTCTGTGTCATTGAAATGTGCTATTTCTGAAGTGGCTCTCATAACTCAAAATCTCTGGCCAGGGATCTACGTATAGAAAGCCATCTCACTTCTGTGTCTGAGAGATGTGTTTGCTCTGTGTCCATCTCCTCACAGAGCTGCATGAACAGACGTGAGTTAAGGGCATGTACGTTAACGTGGTTGTTAATTTTAAAATCACATCCTGCAAAATGTTGTTAAGTTCTGCTGACGTTTTTTTGGCTAGCCAGCATTTCTCTATGAAGGACACAGTGCGTAGACTCATATTCAGAAGCAACCTCTTTGACCCAAGCAGTGAAACCAGAAAGCCACGCAGCCATGACAGCTGCTCCATCCATGCACGCACCGACACGATATGACCAATTCAGTTGTCCTGATACATAATTATTCAAAGACTTGAATAGTTGTGCAGCTGTAGTGTTGGTTGGCAAAACAAAATGCACATGACTTATCCTCACGCACATCCTCCTAAAAGCCACATTGCACAAAAACAAGCATTGTTACCTGTTGTCAACATGGGTAGACTCATCAACCTGGATTGAATACTACAGTGGCTCATTCATCCTCTTTAGCAATTGTGCCTCAATATCCTCTGCCATTTCATCAATTCATCTAGTTACGGTGCCAGCCAAAAGAGGAACATGTGCCACCTTTTGACCTGCAGCCTCTCCTAAAAGTTAACAACAAATATTATTACCAGGAGGCAGGATCAACTCTTCACCAATAGTAAAGGACTTCTTTACTTTAGCAATGTGGTTAGCCATTAAGAATGATGCTCTCAGTGCAGACACATTTGATGAAATGGTGGCCTTCGATAATTGCTTCTGTTCTCTGTTTTCATGTTTATTTCTTTTGAAAAACTCCAAAGTCTTGTGATTTAATACAGGGTGCTTGGTTTCCATGTGGCGAAGCCGTTTTAAAGAGTTCACAGCTTTGTTGGATAGCTAGTCCCCACATATTATACAAAGTGGGCTTGGAGAATGTGAATCAACTATTGTAATGAACGTGTAATTTATGTAGGACCCTTGGTATTTTCCTTTAAATGCAGCTTTCTTTTTGTTGGCAGTCTTAGAGTCTTCTGCTCTCTCATTATTTGGTCTTTCTCCCTTTGCAAGGAAGATCTCCAGTGATGTTTGTTCTATACCCATTTTGGCTAGGGTTAGCTTGTGGGCTTACCAAAAGCGTGCTGGAGATGAGTGCACAGTGGAAAAAAGAGATGTACATGAAAGTGGTAAGTAAAATAATGGGTGGGCCATGTGCAAACTAAAATAAATGTCAGATTCTGACATAAAGCCTGCCATGAGATGTAGCTATACAATTGAAGTACCTGAACTCACTTGGCACTATAAAGCCTGCCACCAGGGGCAGCTTAATTGTTACCTGCCACCTACTAAAAGGGTTTTGATATGAGTCTGTGATATGATCTGGCTCTGTGTTCCCACCCACATCTCATCTTGAATTGTAATTCAAATTGTAATACCCACGTGTTGGGGGAGGGACCTTGTGGGAGGTGATTTCGATCATGGGGGTGTTCCCCTATGCTGTTCTTGTGATAGTGAGTGAGTTTTCTTGGAATATGATGGCTTTATAAAGGTTTTTCTCCCCCTCCGCTGAGCACTTCTCTCTCCTGTTGCCATGTGAAGAAGGACGTGTTTGCTTCCCCTTCCACCATGATTGTAAGTTTCCTGAGGCCTCCATAGCCATGTGAAACTGTGAGTCAATTAAACCTCTTTCCTTTATAAATTACCGAGTCTTGGGTATTTCTTCATAGCAGCATGAAAATGAACTAGAACAGTCTGCAAGCAAATGATTTATTATGGTCTCTGTGAAGTCAAAGCTCTTTGCTAATGTTAATCTGTATTTGCAGCCATTCCTCTGGGCAAGCATCACTGCCTCAGTTCTACCTCAGATCATCAGGCATTAGATTCTCATAAGGAGCTCACAACCTAGATCCTTCACATGCACAGTTCATAATAGGGTCCACACTCCTATGAGAATCTAATGCCGCTGCTGATCTGACAGGAAGTGGAGCTCAGGCAGTAATGCAAGTGATGGGGAGTGGCTATAAATACAGATGAAAGTTTGCTCGCTTGTTCACCACTCACCTCTTACTGTGTGACCCAGTTCCCAACAGGCCAAAGACCAGTTCTGGTCCATGGCCTGGGGGTTGGGGACCCCTCATCCATATCAAAGAGGCTTTGTAGTTTTCCAAACCTAAACATGTACCCCCTCGAATCTAAAACACAAGTTGAAATTATTTTAAAAAAATAAAAATAAGTACTTAGTACCATCCAGACACATCCTAACATCTTAAGAACTCAAAGTATAATGGGTTAGCATTTTTTAATCTTTCAAAGTAGAAGTTAAGTTTTGCTTCCTTTATTAGATCTTCTCTAAGACTCTTATTAGGTTGGTTCACAAGTAATTACAGTTTTTGTAACGGCAAATTACTTGTATCATTACTTTTAATGGCAAAAACTGCAATTACTTGTGCACCAACCTAATAGATCCAGTTTAATTTTTCCTTTTCCTGATGTGTATAGTACATTTGATTAGAAAGTATTCAAATTTTTTAAAAAATTCTTGATTTTCTTTGTAAATTTTTCATGGGAATAAAGTCTTGTTTCTTCAGTGTTCTTTCCCCCAATAATAGAGAAAGATGGATTTTTTTCCAAAGGGGCTCATGGTGACAACCTCTCCAAAAAAGAAAAAGAGCTGGGTGGGGCAAGGTCATTATTTGACGTAGTTCAAATCGGGAAAGCTAGAGGGTAAATACCAGCCTTCTCTGAAGGAGCACCAAAGACCACAACTGGAGAAGCCATATATTTACCATCTTTCAAAGGACAATTAATAAAGACAAAGAAAAGCAGAGGGATGCTGCTTAAATTAAGTAACAAAAAAAAAAGAAAAGAAAAAGAGGGTAGATGTCACTGACACCTCTGACCATGCGGAGACACTACCCCAACCCTTTTAGGATTCCCAGTCATTTAATCAACAAGTTCTACAACAGGCCCAGCTAAGCTTGCTAAGCTATCTGTTCATGAAAAGATCCCGATGGACGTTCTCTGTTAAGAGGAAATCTATGTAAAATAGGCACTTTATCTAAAATAAAAATGAACTTTGCATTAGTTCCATGGGTTAATAAAGATATTCCATTATTTGTAAATCTTATCTTACCTGACCATTGGAATCATTTTTTTTAGTAAAAACAGAAACTCATCCTCTTTTGTGATATTATCAAAATATTTTTTTTGAGATTCTGTAACACTCACTTCTAGGGTGACATCTTCACCTTTTAATGTCTCTGCATCCTTTTATATGTGTCCTTCAGCCAAGAGTTCCCCCTTTCTACCTGACTACTTTTTGTAGCTTCTATTGCCCTTAAAATATACCTGATTTTTTTCCCCAGATAAAATAATTTATTACTAAATGGAGGATTTTTTTTTTACACTACACATTCTCCTTCCATACTCAATACTGTTTACAATCACTGTTGTATGTTCTGTACTAAAATAAAAAATAGAATTCATTGAATATTTCCTCCAGGTCAAATATGTATTCAATGTTTTATATGCATTACACCATTTACTTCTTACAAAAACCTTATGAAAGGGTCATTATTATTATAACCATTTTACTAAAAAGAAAATCAAGGTTTTGAGAAGTTTGTCCAAGGTCACAAACTCAATAAGGCATAGCTGGAAAATGAATTGAAGTCAGCCATTATGCTATATCTTATTGTAAAGAACAAAAATCATGTGCCCAGAGAGGCAGTATTTTTTGTTGAGATCCATGCCCAAGTATAGTGAGAGAACCAGAAAACTATCAAATAGAGATAAGATTAATTTAGATTACTAGAGAATGTAATTCTGAATGTTCTTATATAACTGTGACTCTTTTCCTACCTGGTGATCATTTTACAGGGTTCAAATCTAGAAACGTAGAGGGTAAATACAAGCCTTTTATATGTCCAAAGAGACCGCATAAGTTGCCCAAGTCCATACAGCCAGTAAGGGAAGAAGACAGCACTGAAAAGCATGCGTTCAGGTTCTGGAGGCCGTCCCTTAAACTGCTTCATTTCTGTGGCATACGTGTTTGTTGCAACTAGGCAGTTCTCTGTGTGACCTTGGACCTGCTCTGTTCTTCCCCTTTTCTCACTTGTAGTTCTCAAGAATAATTGTAGAATGTGCTGGGAATGCAATGCCCTGAGATAGGGAGGAACTAGATGGGGCAGTCTGGCCTCCATTCCAGTCCTCCCACCTAAAAAGAGGATGTCCACAGTGCTTTAGCCCCGTGATTCCTGTGACCACAAGTTATATAACCTAGGGTTGGCTGCCTTTCAGGATCCCTCTTCAGCAGTATAAATGGTGCCAGTGGACTTGAGACTCCATCTCTCTTGGTAGTTTTCTGAACCTGGGGGGACTGTTTCACAATGAATCCTTGATATCTGCTGTCTCTTGCTGCCTATCTGTAAGAAATGAATCCACTTCATATAACTTGTTGCATATGAGTGTGTTTTGTCTCACCAGACTCAGACAAGCTGGGAGCCAGTGCACAATAAACAACAAACAGTGCGCAATAAACCTGCTTCACAATCAGTTAAGGAGCATTTCACAATTAAGTATCGTATATGCTCATAAACATAATATATATATACATACAGGCATTATATACACATATATATGTATATATATGTACACAATATTTCGTAGTTCGTAATGGCTGAAACTAATTCCCAATTGCATATTTTTATTTTGTAAATAAAGTACAGTGTTGCTCTGAAGCCCTCAATTGATAATCCTTCTTAAATAAAATAAAACCAACCCTTTAATCCAATAAATAGCAACTTTCACTTACTGAGTGCTGTCTGCAGTACACATACTGAATTCAATCTTTTCATGAACTGCCTTTTTTAACCCTCCTGCCCTTGTGAGGTAGGCATTCTTATTTCCCCAGTCTTGCAGATAAAGAAAAACAGGCTCCGGTTATTGAAGCTAATCAAATTCGCACAGTTAAGACGTGGCAGAGCCAGCTCTGGTTGACCCTAAAACTCATGATCATAAGCATCATGCTCTGATGCCTTAAGATTCACTTAACAATTCTTTTCCTAAAAAGAATTGTTTTTGTACTTCCATTTTAAAGTTTATCTTGAGTTCTAGAACAAGCGTCCCTGAAATTCCTGCCAGGTTCCAGTAGATGCTTTTGTTCTTTCCTAGAAGGTTCATTTTTGAGATCTACCTTGGATCTTGGGAATTATCCCAAGTTAATTTAATACAAAGTGAAACATCCTGTTATTTGTCTGACCGTACCAAGTGTGTGTCCTTGTATATGTATTCCTTGTCTCTTGGAGTTGGCCTCATGACTCCTGTTGTGATAAACTCTTTCCAGTGCACCATCATGCACTGAATTGGAGGTGAACGTGGTGAAATGGGGAAATAAAATTACTCTTAAGAGGAATAACTACAAATGAACACCTTACGGATGAGGTCAGAGTCACTTTAAGATACAATAGTCCTTTTAACAAAAACCACTTAAAATATAATGGTCCCAAAAAGTTCTACTTTTTAAATCAATTGTAGGGCAGAAGAATGGATTGGTTAGTACTAGAACATGGGAGTACTGGCAATGTCTGTTTAAGCAGTGCCCTGGGAGAAGGAGGCCTAATCAAGGATTCAGCCTATATGGTCTTAGTAACAAGCACATTTTACATAAATGCATCAGGTTGTGCTATCTTGAGGGTCTTAAGTATTCAAATCATAATGATGCACCTGTTAAAATGCTAAGCAACTTTTGACCATGATTTGGCTTTCATTTACTATGTTACAAGAAGAGAATATCTACCAGAAGATGTGAGTGTCTGATTCCACTGGCAGTTATCTACCTCATTGCAAATTAATTTCTTGTCATTCTTGTTTTGAAAATTATTTCATGAGAAGTGTAATGTAACTCCATATTCAGATCTAATCAAATCTGGGTTACCCCTGTCAAGACTGAGCTTCTGAGCCTGAGGAGCTGAGTGTCAGATGTGAAGACTCACGGAAGCCAGCCCAGTGACCTTTTCTGGTGACACCATGACCTCATTTTCCTTTAAATACCTTCAGCAACATCTTGCTGTGCTCTTGACTGCTTTAGAAGGAAAAAAGGAAATCTACTAGGAGATCCTCACTTCCTTCCATGACATCGTGGAGGCATGAAAATGGTTTCAGTTTTAGCAAGCTTTAGCTTGGTGCATAATGAGGCAAACAGCTATGAATAAGTATTTTCAAAGTTCGAGCAAGATCATATTAAGACAGACGCCAAGGCTCGTAATTGCAATACACTGCATATTACTGAAACTTTTCATAAAATCTAATGAGATTTTAACTTATAAGGAAAGAGACATAAGGAAACTTGTAGCGACATAATTGGATGACACCTTCTACCTAGAGGGCAGAAGAAGCTAAAAAGCATAACTAGTATTGGTGTTACTAAAAAGAAGGGACTTAGGAAGATATTTAAAATAAAATAAGTCCAGTTTTGATTGCATTATCTTCTGAAAACTAAAATGAAGATTTCAAACAAAGGGTTCCAGAAAGGGTAATTAAAAAGTTCCCATAACTCAAATTGTATTGAATAAGATGCTCAAAAGGTGAGGATCTTCTGTGATGAAAATGAGAGGCAGGAGTGAGCTAAAAGTTCTGTACAACCCAGACTGCCAACTGAGCTTCCCAAAGAGTCTCCTTATTTTAGAGGGTCACCAAGACCCAGGAAAACAATTTCATTTGATTTAAGCCAGAAGTAAGCAAAGATCTTGAAGAAAACCAAGAAATGTAATGAGTCCTGTATTTCATGTTCTGCACCTTGTTCATTAATACAGAACAGAAATTCATCCTGGAAATGAACGATGGCTATATGTCAGGTCAAGGCAAGAACCAATGACAACCTCCCCTAACCTGGAAGGCTGCTCAAACTGAATCTTAACAAGGCAGCAAAAGATAAAGCCTGCATTATGTGAATATGATCCTGTTTGAGCTATTAACTAGCCTTAGATATACTTGAGGGGGTTCTCCAGGCTTCACCGAACAACCAAAGAGGTCTTGGAAAATTCTTGGACTTTAAGCACAGCATATTCTTACTTTTTTAGGTTACAGGCTACTAAATGCTGCATAGTAAATTTACTGAAGAGACTACTTATGCAATTTTTTGCATGTATAAGAGCACAAGCATTGCATTTTATTTTTCACCTCTAACACTTATTAGTTGTGTGACCTTGGGCAAATTACTTAACATCTCTAAACCTCAGCTGCCTTGACTATTAAATAGGAATAAAAATATTTACCTCATAGAGCCATCATGAGAATTAAATAAGATTAACTTTCTAAAGCTTACAACACATTACCATTAATATTTCATAATGCTTAATATTCACCAATAACAATCTAAACTTTCAACAGGCAACCTAACTATTGTAAGTTATATAATCCTTTTCTTATGTTTCACTATATGTATTCCAGTTTTCAGAGAGTATATTAGAAGAGAAGATTTTTTTTTCACATGTATGTTAACTTATTAGATAACAATGCAAATAAAAAGCAAAGGCCTAGCTCAAGATCTCAATAAATAGTAGTTTTTCTTTTCTTTTCTTTTCTTATTAGCTACCATATGCCTCCAAAGATGAGAGAAAATGTAGGATGAAATAAATGATCATTCTTTCTTATCATGATTTGTAAATATGACTGTTTTGAATAAACAAGCATATAAGTTTATTTATTTATTTATTTATTTATTTATTTATTTATTTTTGAGACAGAGTCTCACTCTGTTACTGGGCTGGAGTGCAGTGGCGCGATCTCAGCTCACTGCAACCTCCGCCCCCCAGGTTCAAGCGATTCTCCTGCCTCAGCCTCCTGAGTAGCTGGGTTTATAGGCATGCACGACCACGCCCGGCTAATTTTGTATTTTTAGTAGACATGGGATTTCTCCATGTTGGTCAGGCTGGTCTTGAACTCCCTACCTCAGGTGATCCACCCACCTCGGACTGTCAAAATGCTGGGATTACAGGTGTGAACCACCGTGTCTGGCCAACACATAAGCTTTAAATTAAAGAGGTTTTGTTTATTAAATTGGGCAGACATCAAGATTGGCTTTACCCTGGTTAAGTATTACTAATGGTTCATAAAAGACTTCCAGGATAATGAAGCAGAAATAAGTGTAGCAGAAAGTTAATCTTCCTTCCTGTTCCCTCTCCATCATGCCTAAGACAACGCCCAGCCAAATAGAATCGCTATTTGGAATAGAACGTGTCCCAGCATCTTCACTCTCACTTGAATATTAATATGAAGTGATTAATGAACCTGTTGCTCCACATGTTAAATTAAATAACAATGAAGAGATTAAGAATGCCTTTCCCATATGGAGTGCTGCATTTTAAGTCCTAATGTGTAAAGTAAGCCATTCGTTTTCAGTCAGGCTTTGTAATAGATTTATTTATGAATTTATCTCAACTTTTCTGCAAGCAAGTCACTCAGCAAATACTCATTTCTTTATTCTAGTTAAAGAATTGAAAACTTGTTTCACCAGTAAATAATGCAGATCTCTGACCCTGAGATTTTTACATAACTGTCATTTTCAGACCAATTAGTATATTGAGACCAATTAAAATATTCAGGGCTTAATGCCTCACCCTACTTCTGAGATCCCTGCAGTGAAACTGAACTCTACCAGCGTATGTAAACACCTAGAGGTCTTCAATATGAAAATACAATTTATAATCACAGCACAACTTTACTAGCATCTGTCACTGTTTCCATAGTACCAGATGTCCCGCAACTTTTGCTTACAATTAGAATAAATGTAAAACGTGCCCATCCCCACTTTTCAAATCTAGGTGAGTTACTGTTCTTTGTATGTTTTCCCCAGATTTTACTATTTGCTAGAATGACCTGTCCTATTAGACAGAAACCTTTTTTTCATAAAGAGATCTTTTACGTTATTATTAGGATTACCGTTGTTTCCCAAGAGGAAACTGTGAAAATGGCTTTGTGAAGATCTTGGCAAGGTTCTACCCATGGAAAAGCACCATTTGTCTAGGTAGTACTGAAGCCAAATTTCCATAGTTAATATAGGGGACTTTCATAATCACCTAGTGGTTAGGTCCACTGTGCAGTTGGACATCATAATATATCCCTCTGAATTTAACTCCAGTGAATCTGTTTGTAGGTTCAAGCCCCGGATATTTGTTTTTCTAGCAAATTGTTTCACAGGCCAAACATCTCCCCAGTTACCTGATTGCTGGCTTTATGCTTCCTGACTCTTTCCAAGTTTCCTGTAAATAAGTAAAGAAGCACAGAGATGAGTTCCCTTTCTAGGATCACAATCATGGAATGTTTCATGGTGATGTGATCAAGCACACTTCTCAGTGGGCTGGTAAGAGCTTGTGGGACTAGGTGCATTCTCTTGATTTTCTTCCCTATTTCCTTTAATAACACTTGTTTTATGCCTGCACTGTGAGCTGTTAATATTGTTGTCTCCATTCATAGTCTTCAGGGTTGTAAGACTGACAGGGAGATGTGGCCATCTTGGTCAACACCATATTCCCAGCTGGAGCAGTGCCTGGATAAGCACTCAAGAGTTGTTTATCCATCCTTGTATTCACTGCAAATTTCACATTGATAAAGTAAATCTACACCACCAAAGAGTGAGAAATGTAGATTTTACCGGTTTCCATGGAAAAAAAGAGAGGTCATATCTGATAGAATACTGCAAACAACTTAATAAAATCTGTATTCGACATTTCTGTTCCTCCATTATGTTTCTCTAAGAGACCTTCCTTATTTTCATTGCATTTCTTCAAAAATGTTATTTTCAATATCCCCTATTGTCTTAGCATTTTAATGGTTTCCAAATACAATATCCCCTAAACAAAACAAAGGTCCTTCAATTAGTTGAAGCTCCATTCTCCAGAAGACATGTTAGCAGCCAGTTGCATGACACAGGCTCGACTTGGAGGCTTTCAGGCCCTGTCCCAAGCAGTTTATCAAATTATTCATTCATATCTTTCCCTTAGTGTGCAAGGGGCAGAGACAGGGAAAGGTAAGCACTGGAAAGGGGATTGCACTGCTAATAAAAATACTATTTTCTTCTTTTAATTGTAAACAAATAGATGGAAATGCAGATGTGCTATCCTTAACCATGGTCACAGCCTTCCAGTATTTAAAGAAGTAGTTGCCCTTTAATTCTATTTCATCCTGTGTCAAATCACACATGAAGAAGTCCATGAAAGCCTTTGGTGCTTCGTGGCTTCTGCCTCTACGAGTTTGCAGCCATGTGTCTGGTGTTGGATCTGAGACCAATCATTGTTGGTCAGGATGGCAATTGGGAAGGAGATCTGGTAGTGGAGAATGGAAGAGTGAAGATACGGGAACCCACCAAAACCTCCCTGTAAGTCTCTCACCACCACTAACTAATGGGAATTTCAGAACACGACGTCTGATACTTCACTTCATCTCACCAGTCCCACCCAACTTTACTTTTGATCGACTCTAACCCTAGAAATAAAGAAAATCATTTAGGAAAGGGATTCCTAGAAATGTGTTTCCCAGAATAATTAAGTCTACAGTACAACAATTCAGCATTCTCTCCCAGGAGGAATCAGATTCTGGCTAACTTCTTCCCTGCTATTTACCCATGAAGTTGGTCAATTATCTTGAGAGTTATTAGCCATCAAGGCATGGAATACCTGTTTCAAGGGGACACATAGAGCACTGAGAACTCCTAGTTAACCTAGAAAATCAAGAAAAATATGTTGATTTTAAGATATTCTTTACATGCCTACACATGTGTGCGTGTGCATGCACACACACACACACTTTTTCCCTGGCAAACACATATGTACTGCGAATTCTACCACAGAGTCAATGGCATACACAAAGTGTTTAATTCATGATTATTGAATAGCTGAGAGAACCACACAATAAATCCATAAAATAAAAGAAGAGGGGTTTTTTTTTTTTTTTTTTGGTCCTAAAATGAAAACTTCAACACACACTACCAAACAACTGGGCTTAAAACAGCTAGTGAAATGAGAAATTTGTGTATTCCAGAGTAAATAAACTTCATGTATTGTAGACTGACTTTTGCCATATATCACTGCTTCTACTACATTGCTTCTATTTAAATAATCTTCAGCCTACATTTCTCCTTTTACTCCTTTTCCAACTGATTATCTGTTGTATAGCTTTCACATTTATTTCTGATATATATTTCTCACCTGTCTTTATCTCTCTTTCCTTTTTGCTCTTTTTTAGGTTTAACTTTTCTGTCTGCTCCTCATGTAGCTTCTTTTTTCTTTTATCATTGCTCAAAAATCAGAGAACCATTTTAATTGGAATGTTTGGTTTCACAGGAGAGAAAATCACAGTCCATCTGCCAAAAATGTTGTCAGCATCAGCTTCCCGAGTGTGAGATTGGAGGGTTTTTTTTTCCACTCTGCTAGCATACATGCCACCAATACTGGATCACACTGTTCTAACATTGGAAGGAAATAGCAAAATGCAATTTCAGAATCTTAGGGTAGAAAAAGAATTTTCTTTTATCTTATATGAGTAGGGAGTGCTCAGTCCTTTTTTATTTTTTTTTTTCCACTTGGACAGTTGTATGTGATGGCTTTCCAGATGGAACTGTATCTGCAGAGTTTTAAAAGTCCATTTCATTTTACCTTTGTTTTTCTGGACTGACTTTGCAATCTCTGTCTAGTGCTTCCCTCTATAATAATGTTATATTGAGAAGTGGAATTTTGAAATGGGTAATAAAATTCTGGGTTTGACTGTGAATTTACAGGTATTTTTAATAAAAGATTTGAAGGTCATTGGGCTGATGATGAAAATATTAATTAAACACTTGGATTCATGCAATATGTACCACTTGAATTGACTGATTTAAAAAAATTATTCACTCATTGTTTTGTTTTTGTGATGGAGACAAAATCTCTCTTTTCTCGGGGTTTCTTACTTCCTTATAAAGGAAATCCATACTTTAAGCACCTTGTATTACACATGCTGAAAAGAATGACCACAGAAAGTTGGCCATTAAGGAACTGGCCCAATGTTACTTTGCTATTTTGTAGAAGAGGTTATATCAGAAAAAATAAAAGATATACAAACCAGATCCTGCTTAGTGAAGTATATCATACTTGCAAACCTATAGAATGAACAAAGCCACCAGCAACTGGCCCCAGAAGCTAGAAAAATAAATCAGCTGGCTTGTTAATTCAACCTTATCTGGCATTGTTTATTGTTTTCCTGTGTTTTGAGTTAAAATTCAACATAAATGTAGTTCAAAATTTAACTTGTTTAAACTCATGCACTGAGTAGCTTTGATACTTGAGTGAAAAAATAAATACCACTATAATAATATTTTATTTATTGGTAAATCAAATGCATTTGTTGGTGGTTTAGAAAATATATGGTACTTTTCATTCAGTTGAGAATGATACTCTTAACTTTTGTGAGAAAAGGACCTCAAAGTCTTCGCCATAGTCTTCATGGTGTAGACTGCTGAGCCATGGTACTCGAGGTTTGGTGTGGTTGTCATGTGGGAGTTGGGCAGAATCACTTCCTTGAGTTGTGCAGCCTCTGCTGTTGCAGACTCTGTGCCCACCTGCTTGTGAGCAGTGTGCTAAGAAGGGAGGGGTACAGTCTGCCTACTCTCTGTTCTGGCAGGGCCTTGCATCCCATCGACCCAGGACTGAAGCAACGAGTGGAGTTCATGTCACAGGCACTCTTTGGACCTAAGTATTTTTGTTTTGTAATACAGTATCTACACACAAATAGCGTATTCATAAGAAAGAGGGTTTATGTTGTAAAGTTTGAAAGCGTGGACCTTTGATGAAAAGAGACCTGGGTTTAACGGCTAGCTCCTCATGTAAAAATATAGAGTCACATGAATAGATAAAAAAAGAAAAAGATTTGCTTATATAAGCATAAGGTATTTCAGGATGAATTTAAAGTCGAATATTGGTTGCCTCTGGAGAGGAGCAGCTCGTGGCTCAGGGACAGGATTTAGAGGGATTCTTTTTATTAAATACTCTTTAAATGAGCTTTGAATTTTGAATCTGGAGAATGCCTTGTCATCCAAAAAGTAAAAACAATAGGGAAAAATAAAGATGTGAGCTGAAGCAAAAAGAAGATGGTAATATTCATTAATTTTGTCACTAAATATCACAGGCTATCTTCTCTGTCTCATTATGCAGGCGAAGTTAAAGTTGGACAAATTTTATTTTTAATGCTGAATTTCAGCTTTTTTAAGTGAAAAAGTGGTGGCCAAGATGTTAACAAATAAATATGTGACATTAAGATCAAATATATATGCTTATACAAAAATGCCTTTACAAACTAGACAATAAATCATATAAAATATAATTTTAAATGGAAAATTACAAATCATTCAAGTAAAATTTTGGCTCTAGCACCAATCACCCTGTGGCCTTGGAAAAGGCGTTTATTCTGTAATCCCCAATGCTCCTATTTTAAAATGATGCCATGGAGTTTATGTTACGGAGTCTTCGTGAAGATGAAAAAGAAATAACAGGCGTAGCTTCTGGTGCAATATGTGGCATATGGTAGATACTCAGTAACTTAGTGTAACTAGTAGTGGTGTTATATTTAATGTGAAAATTCCATGTTAGAGCAGGGAAAGTGACTAAGATAGATAGAGCCCACATTTAATCTTAATGAAATGAAAACCTAGGGAATTTGTGACTTAATTAGCTTATGTGGTTAATTCCTGTAGGTTGGGATAAAAAGCCAGGTTTCTCAGCAATCAAATCAAAGTTCTTTATAATGAATTAGTCTATTACTTAATGTGGTGTATGTATACCCTTGCTTCTCAAAGTATGGTCTAAGGACCAGTAGCAAAGGTATCGCATAAAACTGTATTAGAAATGCATAAGCTTGAGCCCCACCCTATGTCTGCTGAGTAAGAATCTACATTTTAATAGGATCCCCAGATGATGCATATGTATAATTAATGCTTCAGAAGCCCTGGTCTAGCCTAGCCCTGAAATCGTGGTAATTGATGGGAAAACAAGAGATGAGTTTCAGGAATTCAGTTAAATATCTATTAGGTTATGTCAAAACAATTGGCTGAGAAGAGAATAATGCCCACAATCACTGGGGAGGAAAAAGATCCCAGATAGGTGGATTGGTAGAGGCACAGAGAAGCAGGAGATCCAAAGAGAGCCACTGTGAGACATTTGTAGATGCATATTTGTGTACTGTGGGAGAAACGTTTGGCACTGATTTTAGAAAATGTGAGTCCCATTTCAAATCAAATATATTATTGCTATTCTTAAATCAAATTACTAGTTTGATTATTCCCGTGAATAATCTGTTGAATCAAATTGGTTTGTCAGAATATAAATATAAACCCACTTTCAATTTGAATAAAATATGAAATCTGTCAAAATTATGGTATGGTCACATGTACACTTAATAACCTAGTGATTAACTAAATAATTTCTTTCTTTCTTTCTCTTTTTTTTTTTTTTTTGACGGAGTTTCACTCTTGTTGCCCAGGCTGAAGTGCAATGGCACGATCTTGGCTCGCTGCTAGCTTCACCTCCTGGGTTCAAACGATTCTCCTGCCTCCCGCCTCCCAAGTTACTGGGATTACAGGCATGTGCCACCACTCCTGGCTAATTCTGTGGGGTTTTTTTGTTTGTTTGTTTGTTCTTTTTTTCTTTTTTTTTTTAAGTAGAGACAGAGTTTCGCTATCTTGGCCAGGCTGGTCTTGAACTCCTGACCTCAAGTGATCCACCCACCTTAGTCTCCCAAAGTGCTGAGATTACAGGCGTGAGCCACCGCGTCTGGCCAATAATTTATTTCTCAACTAGTTATCATGACACTGCATACACACAGGTAAGTCTTCAGATGCTACTCCTATTGAGATTTGTAACAAACAAAGGATGGGATATGCAGATAGACTCCATGTGGGGAGAGTCACACAAACTCAATATAAATCCCATTCTGGCTCTCATTAGCTGCCCAATTTCCTTAAATTCTCTTGCGCAGGATTCCAAATTCCTCTCCTTTTGTAAAATGTAAATATTAAAAAGCACCTCCTAGGATCGTTTTGAGAAATAAATAAGAATAGTGATAAAGTCCATGAATGGTAGGTATGATAGTAATACTAATATTATTCTATATATTATAAAATCTAACTGGAACTCAACTCACAACTATAACACCCACAGAATAAGCTGATCATTTTCAGAGTTTCAATGGATCATGAAACTCTGTTTCAATTACCGCTGTTAAGTAAAGGATAAAGAATATTGCCATTTTTACAAAGCTCTTTTTAAAAGAAAATGCTCAGCCTCAGATACAATCAAGGTACACTTCACTAGAAATCTGTTGGCTAGGAGAAAGTGCAATCAACCTCTTTTGACAGATCATGTTGAATTGACTCATGAAAACATAAAATACTCCAAAGCATGTTTACATGCTTTATCTCATTAAATTGTTACAGAGATAAGAATTAGACATTAAATTGTTACAGAGGCAAAAAATTAGACATCCTTACCCTCACTCTATATATGAGGAAACTGAGGTTTAAAACGCCAAGCGGCGGCGGGGCACAGTGGTTCATGCCTGTAATCCCAGCACTTTGGGAGGCCGAGGTGGCAGATTGCCTGAGCTAAGGGGTTCGAGACCAGCCTGGGCAACACGGTGAAACCCTGCCTCTACTAAAATACAAAAAATTAGCCGAGTGTGGCGGCGTGCATCTGTAGTCCCAGCTACTCGGGAGGCTGAGGCAGGAGAACTGCTTGAACCCGGGAGGTGGAGGTTACAGTGAGCTGAGATAGTGCCACTGCACTCCAGCCTGGGCGACAGAGCAAAACTCCATCTCAAACAAAACAAAACAAAAAGCAAACAAACAAAAAAATGCCAAGTAGCTTTCTCAAGGTCACATGGGCAATAAGTGGGCAGAATTTTTTCACTACATCTTACCTGCCTCACAAAAACTCAGAAATGTGCTATCAACCTAGGGTGGAATTTTAACACAGTGAATGCTGATTAAAGTAAGGACAATTGCTTCTTAGGAGAGTTCATCACTTTTACCTCCAAGTTCCTTTATGGGCTCATTTCAGTCAGGCACCCTACGTTTAATAAGCAATTTCTTCCTATAAGTCTTCGTACTACATTAGTGCAAAAGTAATTGTGGTTTTTGCCATTAAAAGTAACCACAAATACTAGTAGTAGCATATGAATACTATTACTAGTTCTAGTCCAAAATCCTCTCCCAAAAAAGTCAAAGGAAGATTTCCAGAGCCTGGGATGGTTGTGAGGAAGCAAGGGAAGTGAACTACAGAGCATGGAGCCAACATCCACAAAGGGAAACATGAATTGGGAGAAAATCTGAGCCCAGAAGACAGCCTGACTAAGCATTAATCCAACGGGTCTGAACCAATATCTTATATGGCTTAACATCTCTAGAGGATGTAGGTCCCTGCTGATTAGCAGGTCAGGTGGGGTCAGCCATCTGATGAGAAGGCAGGAGGGCTCTGTAAAGAATGCTGCCATGCAAACATATTCTCCTTCAGGTGGAATAACTTCCCTCATAAAACACCCAGGTGCATTTTGTTTTTCTATACTACAGTAAAGTAAAGGATGTTATGGTTTTATATAGTTTATAGCTTGATCTTTTATCAATTTAGAAGCTCTATTGGATGCACTAGAAACTAAATTCATGTCTATTAACAATGAGGCCGGGAAGGAAAAATGATAGGATTTGGACTCAGGTAAACCCGTGTTAGAATTCTGGTCCTGCCAATTTTCAGCTCTGGGAGATCTGAACTGTTACCTCTGATTCTCAGTTACATCTTTTTTTTTCTGACTCTCAGTATCTTTATTTACAAAAGGGAGTAATAATATGTTTCTAGCAAAATTATTATAAGAATTTACTAATTCATTGTATTTATTGTAATGGACAGGCATGAAACATTCAAAAATGGTAGTTACTATCACTGTAATCATTGTCATTGTCCACTGAGTTTTGAACTTTGAAGTATAGAATAGTGCACAAATTACAAGCATATAGCTAGGTGAGTTATAACAAAGTAAATATACCCATATGGCCACCGCTAAGATAAAAAACAGAAGCAACTCTCCTGCTCTCTCTCCTTCCAACTCAGAGGTAGTCATTTTTCTGGTTTTTCATACTAGAGATTAGTTTTGCATGTCTTTGAAATTTCTACAAATGTGGAAATTTATGCAGCTATGTCCTATTTTGTATTTAGTTTCTTTCACAAAATATTATACTTGTGAAATCTATAGCACAAGCAGTACTTTATGCTTTTTCATTGCTATATAGTATTTTATTTTAAATGGATATTTATAATGTTAATGAACATTTGGAATATTTCTAATTTTTAGTATTGTCCTCAAAATTCTCATGCTTGTCACAGATGACATATTGACACATTGAAATATTGACATATTGTCTCTACGTAAACTTAGAAATGAAGTCACTGGTCACAGATAAATACATATTTAATTCTAGGAGACACTGAAAGACAATTTCAAGAGGATTTTTTTCCATTTACATTTCTACTTATATCTTATGAGAATTCCTATGTCTTTGCATCTTCACTAATACTTGGTATTTTCAACTGTTCTAAGAAGTCAGCCATTGTAGTTTGCATATTATGATATCTCATGGGATTTTAATTTTTATCACACTGATAACCAAAAAAGTCAAATCCCTTTTAATATATTTATTTCCAATTTTAATACTTTCTTACATGCAATGCCTGGTCCAGTGTTCAGATCTCTCTTTATTTTTCTTCTTTTTTTGTTATAGCCTTTTTGCTGCTGGTTTATTAAATTTTAAAAAATATATTCTGTATATAAACTATTTGACAATTGAAGAAAAATGTTAACGGTTTGTTCTGTGGCTTTTTTTTTTTAGCCTGAGGGATGCCTGAAGATGGGATCTTTGGTCAAATGCTCCTTGCAACACAAATACTCAAGAAATTGGCTAGAGCATATTTATTTCAGATCCAAGATAGCAGGGCACCCCACTGAGGACAATGTTTGAAGATAAGCCATTAAGCAACTAGAAATGACCTCCCCCGCAAAGCCCTACATTGCTTAGCTTTATGGGATTTTAAAATTGTCTCTTGTAAATTATTTCTATAGTCTAAGTTGCTGATCTTTTGGTAGCAGATCAGCTGGTGGTAGGGTCTCTACTTGTCTCTACTCAGCTTTGTTCACCAAATGTGAACTAGATGATAGGAACAACTTAGGCTGTATGTGAAGAACGCACACACACATTTAATGTTGTCATACAGAGAAGGAAGTTGTGTTCATATGTAGGCTACAAATAGTTAATCTCTTTTTAAACCTTCTGAAATTTTGAAGTCTTAAAAAGTGGAACAATAATTCGAACTGCCACAGGGGTTGTTTAGAAAATATCATAAAATATAAAATAAAATTGGAGTATAAGAATATGTCTTAAGTGGATTTGCTATTAAGGTGTATTTGTTATCTTTATTGTTTATTTCTGTGTCTTAAGAATAAAGTCCATGGGAATTTAAAAAAGCACATTTTAATTTGGATAATATATATTAGATGAAAGAGATTTCTAAAATGTATGCCTGCCTTATGTCAAATGAGCTTGGTATTCTCAATAAAGTTCTACAATTGAGATATGTATTATTACAATTTGCTCTAATATGTCGTTTCTTTGTATTCCCTTCCAACGTCTCTCTCTCTTTTCCTTCCCTTCCCTTTTTCTCCCCACCATTCCCTCTTTTGAACCCAAATCCAAATCAAAGCTACCTGGAAGGGAAGAAGAGTTTGTTGTACATCAAAAGACACTTTTTCATCTTTTTCTCTCTCTGTGAACTTACTGAAGGTCTGAGGAGTAGAAGTAGACCAGCAATTTCACACAGATTGTGATCTTTCTGAATTCAGTTATTTGTAGGTTGAGACAAGGTTCTATAAATGCACATACACACAAATGTGTACATACTCTCACACTGTAAAACAATTAAATATCCACTCCTAAACTTCCACCTTCTCAAATTAAATAAGAATAGATTCATTTTCAATAACAAATTAAAGAATATAAAAGAAATGAAAGTGCCACTGATGCCCCATGGGTTAGCCAGTACCTAATTCTATTCTTTTACTATTTGTTCAATGGCAATATTCTGGAGCTCTATCCTTCAACTCCTTACAATTTCCATAACAAAGAAAAGGACAAGCCTTTCTTTTTTGAGAGCTTCCTCAAACCCTGTTTCTCTACCTCCCAAGGTGATATATGCCCTCTGACTATGATACCTGTTCTCATTCCTCTGAGATGGTAAACTCTTCCTGAAGCTTTTGAGCGTCGACAGAGAGTGTAATGCCAACCTCTCTGCCAGAGGTGCTTTGTGTTTTCAATCAGCTCTCCTATAAAGTGGATAGTCTCAGGCTTTTGAACACTGGATGGAAGATCTCTTTATTCATTTTTTTATGAAACATACTTAATGACGAGACTAGAGTTGAAGATATAAACTCTAATATTTATTTCATATTGGGTTGTAATTAGTAGAGGTCAATTCTGAAGGATAAATAGTAAGTTAAAATCTAACATTATTGACAACTCACTACGTATTAAAACTTTTCTAATGCTTTACAAATATATCTCTTCTAAAATTTACAACAGTTTTAGGAGTGAGGCATTATAGGAGAGGAATCTGGATTCTAATCTCAAGTATGACTCTATGTGTGATCCCACCCAAGTGACTTAACCTCTCTGGGTCTTAATTTTCCATATGTATTAAACATCTACTGATGCATAACAAATTATCCCAAAACTTGATAGTTGAAAAGAAGAAACATTTATTATCTTACGTAGTTTCCAGAGTCAAGAATCCAGGGCTGGTTAATTAGGTGGCTCTGGCTTAGGCTCTCCAGTAAGGTTATGGTAGAGATATTGACTAGGGCGGCAGACAGCTGAAGGCAGCATCTGGGCTGGGAAATCTGCTCGCAAGCTCAGTCACATGGTTTCACAACCACATGGTCTAAGGAAGACTGCTTTGTTGATTTACAACTGGCTGCTGGAGGACTCAGTACCTCACCATGTGGCCCTCTCCATTAGGGGTCTTCATGACAGGGCAGCTAACTTTCTCCACTACCAGTGATCCAAGAGAGAGTGAATGAAACATAATCCTCAGTACCTCACAGTCTCCCAAGTTGCACTTCATCATTTCTCACTAGCTTTTATCTATTAAATAAAAAAAGCAAGTCACAAAGTGCAGCCCCCACTTAAGTAGAGGTAAATTAGACCTTATTCTTCAGAGATGGCCTTTCAAAGAATTGGATATGAGAACATCTTTTAAACCATCACAGCATCTATAAAAATTAATAGTGCATGGGCCATGGGTGAACTTCAGTGGGTCTTCGGTGGGCCTCAAATTTTGCAAAAATGGATTTCAAGCCTTTTAAAAGCCCACTAGCCACTTCCTCATTCTAGAGCTGAATCAGAATGATGGTCTTGCTGATGTATATCATAGTGAAAGTCTCAGAGCCAGCTTTACTTATAAAAAAAATTAGTAGTAGTTATAGTTCTAATAGTATTTCATTAGTAGCTCAGGGAATGTTTACATATGTTTTCATCCATTTAACAGTCACCTCAATCAAGTTATAAAACATTTCCAATATCCAAGAAAGCGCACTCAAGCCCCTTACCAGAGATCATTGTCCCCCAGAGATAACCACTATTCTGACCTCTATCACCATAGATTAGTTTTGCCTGTTTTCAAATTTATTTATACAAATCATACCATGAAAGTCTATTTCTCTGGCTTCTTTAGCTCAACATACCTTACTTTTAAGTCTGTGAGCAGTTATCCTGAGTCCAGACAGCACAAGGTCATCTGATCAAACACAGCCTGCACAGGTGTTCGGAATTTTTATCACAAAATATTAACTTTCTGAGAGATCAGGCATTACTTCTTGGAAGTAGTATGAAGAGTTGCGTATTTGGGAGGAAAAGCAAAACTTTGAAGTTGCTTTCCAGATAAAGAATATTTTGCCTATATCAATAAATTAAATAAATATGTCTGTGTTTTTTCTATGTGCCGGGTGTTAGAATACATAATTGAAATGCAGATATCAACAGGCATAGTCTCTGATCAAAAGCAGCTCTGGATCACTGATTCAGGAATGATTACAAGACAAAATTACAAATACAGTTGTTCCACGATATCCATAGAGGATTGGTTTCAGACCCCCGCCCCCGCCGCGGAAACTGAAATCCACAGATGCCCAAGTCTCTGATATGAAATGGTATCGTATTTGCATATAATCTACACACATTCTTGTGTACTTTAAATCGTCTCTAGATTACTTATAATACATAATAAAATGTAAATACTATGTAAATAGCTATTATACTGTATTATTTAGAGAATAATGACAAGAAAAAAGTCTCTATATGTTTAGTACAGATGCAACCATCCATTTTTTAAAAAAATATTTTCCCTCTGTCTGTGGTTGGTTGAACCCACGGATACAGAACCCATGGATATGGAGAACTGAGTGTACTATAATGAAAGTGAGCCAATCAGGAGCAGGGAACATTAACTCTCTTGAAAGGCCAGAGGGGTGATCTTTGAACTATTCCCTGAGGGCTCAGTAGGAGTAAATAGTTCAGTAAAGAGACTAGGGTTGTAGGCAAGGCATTTTATGAAAAAAAAAAAAAAAAAAAAAAAAAGGATGCAATCGCTATAAAAATTTCCCAAAAAATAATAGGCATAGCAAATGTGGGATGGCATAAGTGGAAAGATGGGGATAGAGGATGAGGCTGCAAAGGTGAGTTGTATTCAGATCATGAATCCCTCTATACACCATGGTTATGAGCTTATATTTTTACCCTATAGGCCTCAACAGCCTTTGCAGTGTTTATGAAAGGAAGTGGCATGATCAGATTTTCATGAAAAAAACTCCAAGAGAAATAAAGATAATGAATTAGAAATGGGAGAAAATGTGAGCAGAATTGTGCAGATGACATTCTAGGGGTCCTCAAGTCTCCTTGCAATGCGTGTGCAACTGTGCTAGTTACAGACAGACATGCGTATTCTGGAGATGAGGATGTGCTTTTTTTCTGAGCTGAGGTACATGACCTACATGATTGAAAACCATTGCATGTAAGGATCATTAATGTTGGTTGAAGCAATAGATAAAATGGTATAAATTGCTGTGTTACTAAGCCCAATAGTTGTTTACAAAGAAATTTATACTAGAATGCTTAAATTGTATTTTGTTTCTATGCCAATAAACTGAGAATCTTAAGTGTAAGATTTTTACTTATTTTTATTTAAACTTCTAAAGTCTAGCACAGTGCCTGGGGTATATTTTGTGGTCAACATCTTGTTGAGTAAATGAAATTAGCAATCCAAAATGCAAATAGCTCCTATAAAATGGAATGACAATACTTGTTTCTTAGTGTTACAGTGAGGGTTAAGTTAAACTATAGATTTAATGTAGTTGATGTTTCATAATACAGAATATTCAGTGCATCTTAGTTGTTAATTGTATTAGGGTTGCCTTCAGTAACACACATAAACTCCCATATAACAATATCTATAAGGAAATCGTTAAACCCTAAATGAGAATCAGGGTAATAATTTGCTAAACATTGATTTTCAAAAAGTTACAAATGATATGAGCCTAAATTGCTGTTAGAAATAAATGTAAAGAAAGAAAATTTCTTGATTACTTTTAATTAGCTTTTGATCTTTCACTAGCATTTTATCCTGTCTATAATAAAAAAATGAGGAAAAAAGTGAGTCAAGGTACGAAATTAAAATGAAGCAGTTATGTAAAATTCTCTCTAGAGAATTCATTCACATCATATAAACATTTCTTGTTCTAACTATTATAAATGGTGTAAATTCCTTTCCTACAAAACACTCTAAACAAAACAGCATCTAGAAGGTTTCCAAAGAAACTAAAAAACATATGGAAGAAAATACACACTAACATGACATTGTTGGGTACCATGCAGGAAAAAAAAAATAATATTCTGAAGACTAAATGCAGTAAACAGTAATATAAAGTGTCTGGGGTATTAGTCTTTTGGAATTCTTATTCTAGTGAAAGAAGATCCCTTCAGCACAGTGCATTGTTCCTTTTTGAACTGGTTATGGTATCTATAGAGAGAAGTGGACTCCCCATTCTCAAGTCTGGAAGCAGAAACTGGGGAGGAGCAACTTAAGTGTCCTCCACAAAGTTCATACCAACCCCCAACTTCTCATGCCTAATCTCCAGGATCTGAATTGTGACTCTCAGCAGATTATTAAAAAAAAAGAATTATGATTGGGAATAATAAAATGCCTTCCTAATGATGTATGCTAATAATGATTTTACAAATGATTTGTATCAAGCAATGCACATTAAAAAAATAACTGGCAGTAGTTTAATTCTATTTATAATTCACATACAAGGGATTTTTTCCATGAAAAGAAAGAATATTAATAACCTCTCAGTTTATCTCTTCTTTTTAGATAAGTTTGAGTAATTTCCTTTAAAAATGTCAAAGGTGGGTGTGGTGGCACACACCTGTAGTTTCAGCTACTCAAGAAGCCAAGGTGGGAGGATAGCTTGAGCTCAGGAGTTTGAGACCAGCCTGGGCAACATGGTGGAACCCCATCTCTTCAATAAACACACACAAAAAAACTAGTCAGGCACGGTGGTGTGCACCTATAGTCCCAGCTACTTGGGAGGCTGAAGTGGGAGGATCACTTGAGCCCAGAAGTTCAAGTCCAGCCTGGGCAACATAGAGAAACTGCTTCTCTTAAAGAAAAAAAAAAAGAAAGAGAAGGGAAGAAAAGGGAAGGAAAGGGAAGGGAAGGGAAGGGAGGGGAGGGGATGGGGAGGAGAGGGGAGGGAGAAGAGAAGAAACAAAGGAAAGGAAAGGAAAGGAGAGAACAGAAAAGAAAAGAAAAGAAAAAATTGGGATAAAGCAGCTGACTCTCTAAATATAAAAGGTGCCTGAGATCAGAGCCATGTGTGGTAAGGCAAAAATTGTCAGATTATCTAGACTACTCTGGGCATGTTGTGATTACACATAATGATGTTCCTGAACCATCTCTTGGCTGTTGCTATTAGGAAATAGTATTTACCTGTGTTTTGATATCCACTTTTCTATGGAACATGGATTTTCTTTAGAAGTAACTTTAAGCAAAAGATGTTTATAAATCTTCCTGTCCCTTGGCCACTCACGGTGGCTCACTCCTGTAATCCCAGCACTTTGGGACGCCAAAGTGGGAGGATCACTTGAGTCTTGCTCAGGCTGGTCAGGAGTTCAAGAGCAGCCTGGGTAACATGGTGAAACCTTATCTCTACTAAAAATTACAAAAATTAGCCAGGTGTGACGGTGTGTGTTACACAGGGGGCTGAAGCAGGAGGATCATTTGAGCCCAGGAGGTTGAGGCTGCCGTGAGCCATGATTGTGCCACTGTATTCCAGCCTGAGTGACACAGTGAGACTTTGTTTCAAAACATAAAATTAAATTTAAAAAAATATATATATAGCCTCCTATCTTACCCTGCAGACATAAACTCATAGAAGACAGCAAAGCAAAGGGAATATAGACCCAGAACAATTATTTTAGAGAGGCCAAGGGCTGGGGCACCACTCAGCCACGTGGAAATCAATCAATAAAAACTTGGTAGTCTGAGTAAATGTGTATGTGAAGAGTCAAACTGAAGCCATATCCAGTTAATCCAGGGCTGAGGAGGCAAAAGTAAATATGGGCACTAAGAAGTTCCACTTATTCCAATATCATGCAGCCACTATTGTAAAATGTCTTTGAGGTTGCTATTGCAGTGCTCTCATGAATGGGATTAGTGCCCTTATAAAAGAGGCCCCAGATAGTACTTCCCATCATGTGAGGACACAGTAAGAATGTGCTGTGAACCAGGAAGTCATCTTGTATCAGATATTGAACTTGCCAGACCTTTGATCTTAGATTTCCCAGCCTCCAGAACTGTGAGAAATAAATTCCCTTGTTTATAAGCCACCCAGTGTAAGCTATTTTGTTATAGCAGCCTGAACAGACTCCCATAGAGGTCATCATAAGTAGGCACTTTTGCTGCAAAAGCTTTCTGACCTATTCCTTTGAAACACATACCTTCTCAATTTCCCTTGAATCAAACAAACCTCTGATAAGCCAAGCCTTGTGAAATCACTGAGGCATGTTATGTATCACAGTAACTTCATCTTCAACTTCACAGCAAGTTTTTCTTCAATGAAAGTCCTAGTCGTATCTATGTGATTCAATGTCGTTGAATCTCAAAAATGTGAAATATCAGTTTTATTGTTTATTGTCCTTGGGGCACCATTTTTCTCATCTTTTGCATCTTCTGACTCTCTCTTATTGTGACTTACTTCCTCGAGGGGAATGTAATTTTTGTTAGAAGTCATTTTTGGTTGGAGTTGTTTACTCTTTGAGTGCCATGTGCCCTGGATTGTGTAAATGTCCCTGTAGAGTAGTTTTAAGTTGCTTTTGCTAGAGTCCCAGGGTTTTGTGAATCTTGGACTCATATCTATATTATATTCTTAGCTTTGGCTGGTATAGAGCAAATCCAGATCTCACTTCCATGCACAACGGCAGACAGGGAGTTAAAGTTTCTCATGAGAAATTGCTTCTTCACAAACAGTGAGGTAGATGACAAGCTTCTTTGTCATCTTCTACTTGTTGGCCAGATTCATCTATGTTCTGTTTTATAAACTCGGGCCATCCTTAAACAGCTCCAAATCAGTTTCAGTCTCCCACCTGCCCTGGGCGTAAGGCCATATTCCTTGACCCCTTAGGGCTTTAGAATTCCAGACATATAAAACTGATACTTTTGGCAGTGTAAGTGAACTTAACTACTTTGATGTTGACCTAATTACAACACCTGTTGAGTTTCCTGTCACTGTCTTTAAAGTCTTCTAGATGTCATTATTGTTATTATTATTACATTATTGGTGGGTACACGCAAGGTCTGTTTGCCCTGTTGCCTGAACCATTATTCAGTACTTTCCCCCATTTTTAGCACTGTCTTATTATTTATTTTGTGCATTTTAATGATTGAAACTAATGCCTTTACAAAAAGGAAAGATTATTGAAATAAAATATAAGAAGATAACTTTTATGCAGATAAACTTTTATCAAGACTATTAAAATCATACTGTGTAAGTAAAGGAGACAGTTCCTTATTACACTCATGCAAAAGGCTGTCTCTAGATACACTCACGTAATCTCTGCTTTCTATAGATGAACTGCTTCTTTGCTTATTCCTTCATTGGAACAGTGTTTATAGAAATATTTATTCACTACCTCTAATGTGTTAGGCACTGTTACAAGAGTTGGAAGTACGGAGATGGATAAGATGCTTAAGAATGTGTCCCTATTTTCAAGAAATTTACAAATTAAGTGGCTCAATGATCACTGATCAAAAACAGCAATTAGGGCACAAGGAAGAAGGGTCACCTTTACCTGGAGATAAAAGGTGCTCAGGAAAGTCAAGCATGATTGCTGAACTGGAAGTTTAGGAACATGGACAGGAGAAGATCAGGGTGACCAGTATTTAGGGCTGAGGAACAGGGAGGTAGACGAAACAGGTGTGAAATTGTGAAGGAGCCTGTAGAAATTGGTGTGCCAGGAGCAGAGTTTCAGGCAAAGCTCAGCAAGAATTGAGATACTGACCCAGGCAATGTGGCTCACTCCTGTAATCCCAGCTATTAGGTTGGCTGAGGCCGGAGGATCCCTTGAGCCCAGGAGTTCCAGGTTTCAAGGATATGATATGATATGATATGATATGATAGCACCACTGCCTCAGAAGAATCTAGATTTAGATACTGAAACTAACTAGAAACCATACCATAATAGGGTTTGGGAAGAAAACAGGGGTGATGATGCTAATGAAAGAATTTAAGCAGGGAATTGCACAATCAGATTTTGTGTTTTAGAGGAAATGCTTTGCTCCTGTGACTATCACACCCAAATATCTGATTGTATAGTTGATTTCCTCTTCTGGACCCCAATGAAGCACAATTTGGAGACAGCCTAATTGGAAGTAGCCAGGATGATCAGTAGGATTTTTGTTTAATCTCCTTCACTTTTCTATGAACAACTCATAAATTGCAGCCTACTGATAGAGAATGTGATGGTGGATGAAATCAGGCAGCATTCATGAAGGGTCAGCTACAGTCAGATTCTTGCTGGTGAAGGAAAGGATCTAGAAGATTAACACTTTGGCCAACTTCAAATCCTCATCTTAAGACAGGAAAAAAAAAAAACAGAATCTGAGTATGGAATTTACATTTAGGAAACAGTAAAACTGCACATTACCTATTTGGGTCTATGTTGTGGAAGAGAAGGAAGAGATGGAAGCCCAATTAAGTTTTCTGCAAATTATTCTGCCATAGACTTTCAGATTTATTGTTGCAATTGAGGGGTGATTTTTGTTTCTTAAAGATCCATATTTCTGACACTTTATAATCAAACAGAACCCCATAGTCTTCCTCTGGAATATTTTTTGAGTAATTGATCAGCATATTTAAATTCATGAAAATTACTTGAATGTCATGGCTTGGTATTTGGATTTTTCAATATAATGTGTCATTGGGGTGAGACAGCATTTGTGAAACTGGGTTCTTAGCTTCCATGCAAGGTACACATATACTATAACAGTTTTTTTTCAACATAAGGACTAATTTTATTTATATACAATCGGAGGTACATTATGCCTATGATAAATTATGCTAAATCTATTAGCTGAACACTGAATTGAAATATCCCCTAGCTTGGTTCTATTAGCACAGCCTGTTTCTTGTTTGTCCTCAGTGAGATCCAACATACAAAAATATATTGGCATGAGAAAAAAAAAATCTGCAGTAAGTCAAAAGGAAGATGTCAGGAAGAAAACTAAATAGCACATAACTCCCCAAGCTCCTTATGGTCTATTCTTCAAAGTCTCAGCTAGGGAAATAAAGAGGTTTAAGTGGAGTTTGCCTCTTGCAACACCTTAAACTACTATACATTTGCCCAGCCACAAGAGAGAGTGAGAAACAAGAAAGGAAACATGTTTCCTGAGAAAGTATCTATTTAGAAGTGATTGACAATATTCCGATTGCGATATTTTTAACACTTCTTGCAAATCCACGGATATTTCTTCACACTTCTTGCAGAAGTCAACCTGCAAAGCTGCTGCACTTCATTTTGTGGTTCACATGCCATCCAGCTGAGTGAGACAACACTTAGGGGAGCCTGCCGACACTGAAGTTGCTGAGAAACAAAGTCCTCTTAAAAATTGCTTAGATCACAGGCTGTATGTGGTGGCCCTGTCTGCCTTAAAATGATGTTCTGTATGCATTGGGTTGTATTACTGATTGGCGAGAGGGTACTTGTTTTGGAAGTTGTAAGAATTCCAACAAATACTCAACTCTGACAGATTTTTTTAAACTAACTTTATTTTTTAGAGCAATTTTAGATTCACAGCAAAACTAAGCAGAAAGTTAAGAGTTCTTATATACCCCCTGTCCCCACATATGCATATTATGAAGTAATCATGCAATGTTTGTTAATCATATCATATCTGCTATACTTGTTTTCCTAATGAGATTGTAAGTTTCTTGATTGGAAAGATTGAGTCTCATCCGTTAGCATCCCATATGTGGGTTGAGTCCAATGCATGTTGGTTGACTGATCAGGATCCCAGGCCTGCTCAGCAACTTGAGACCATGTCATATGTGGTGATGCCTATCACATGACGCAGCCTGATACAGTGGAAAGGGCGCTAGCGTTGGAATCATACATACTTGGGTTTCAATCCTGCCTTTTAAATTTATTAACAATTGCATTTTATCTTCAGAATCTCTTTGTGCTTCTTGTAAAATAAGTGAAATATTACTACTTTTCATGACTGTTAGAAGGGAAGGTGTCTACTGGGAATGGGTATGTGATATACCTAGTACAGACTTTGGTCAGTAACTTAGTGAACATTATCCTTCTGCTATTATTCTCTCCCACCCCTAACTCTATGTAAGATTAGTTTTGTATAAGTTCCTTACCAGAATTGAAGTCCTTTCATCTTGCTTGAATATTCAATTTAAATATATAAATATATAAGTTGATAGTATATATCTATGAAGCTAGGAGAAAAAAAAGGAATATTGCTAAAGAGAGATCATAGGGAAAGTAGAAATAAAAAATAGAAAGTAGAAATTCAGGAGTCATATGATGAGGATGTTCCTAGATGCTCTAAAAGGAAGTTCTTAAAAGAATCATGTAGACTTCAGTAGCTTTACTACATTTCAACTTGTGTACTTGAATATTGGACATTTGAAATCATTATGCAAATATATACAAATAACACACAAATACAGTTCTTGTATTCACAAAAAGGGAATTTCTCAACCTTAGCAAGAACCTGGTAATACCTCCATACTAGATTAAGTTGTCAAAAAGATCTCTAGTTTTAAGGTTCTTGGTTTAGTGAAAAAAGTAAGCATCAGAAGACCTGAGCTCTTATTCTGACCGCTGTCGTCTTATCTTAGCTTGAGCATGGCATTTAGCATTTGAGGAAACTATTATTTGGGCATTAGCAGAAATCACAGAGTTGTTCCACACATCAAGCGTGAAGAATAAAAGCACTGCACAAAGATTATTGTGCACAGAATACCAGGGGTAGTTACCAACAGCTTGCTTTATGTTACAGGAATGTGCACTCTCTAAGGAGTAAAGAAAGGACAAAATAGGGAAGAAATGGAGGACAAAAAGAGACTAAAAGGGATCAAAGCAGTGCTCACTATAATAAGAATTCCAAGAGGAATGATTTTAGAGAAGGCACAGTGTAAACTAACTCCAATTAGATCACAGTAGCTGAACAGTGTTGTTTACACCAAAGACATTTTTTACCCTGGTTTTTGATGAAAAGGGGATTGGGTAGTTTCATTGTGAAATTAGGTTTGCTTTTAAGAACAACAAATTTATGAAATAGGCTACAAACATGTCTTGGGAAGCCAGACATTGTAATGGTAGCTGATTAATCTACACTCAGTGACTTACCATTTCAGACAATCTCCCTCGGCAGGGAAAGGAATAATGTCACAGGAAAGACATTGAGGAGGCAGAAGGGATTGACGGGACCAGAATGATAAATGGGAAAGAAGGTTATATTAGTTCTGAGAGCCAGACAAACTGAGATTACAACAATTGAAGAAAAGACATTGAAGAGCAGAGATATGATTGAAGCTTTTAAGATGTTAAAAAGGATAGTAAAGGTCAATACAGATAAGCTCTGTGAATGATAATGACAAACACTGAAATTTAAGGACACATTCTAAAAATAAGCCATAGATAGAAGGATATTACTTTTCTGTTGTTCAGTAAGCCCCTGCATACTCTGTCCACTTCTAAATTATCTTTATTTTGTTGAGCAATCATAGCACAGGAAGGTGTGGAGCCAAAGATATTATGCAAAGAAGATAGGGACTCAAACCAGAATTAAAATTGCAATTCATAAAATGTTCCTGAGGCTGCATATTTATTTCTTCAGGGGACCACTGGTAGAAACATGAGTAATAGGGGGATTTGTTTAGAAGTCCTATGAACTTTGTTCCTCCAGGGAGATTTTGTGCTTGCTTTGGCCAAGAATCAGATAAGTAGTACCATCCTGGGATTATTTTTCGGTTCATTTCTCATCTTGGGGGGTTCAAAGTCATGCAAGGGATTTGGTATAAATTAAGATGGCAAATGCCATTAGGTCATATTCATAGCAAGAGTCTCAAACACGTTTTAGTTTGTTTATTTGATACCTACCCCAGTCCAGACATCTTTATTATCTTTTTGGCAATGAACAAATTTTTTCAAGTCAACCCTTTTACTGAGCACGTCACTTTTTATGGGCTCTGATGTTATGGGCAGTGCCTCATTCCCAAATCTCTCCTGTCCCTTGCTCAAAGCCTAGTCTGATGTTGAATGTGCTGTGTACCTCAGGTTTTCAACTCTCTCTCTCTTTTTTGTCTCCGGTGAGGTCCCTTACTTTCTAGCAGTTTAGAATCTCATCTGAAGAATGTTTGTGATATTTTATTCAGCATTTCTGGACTTGTTAAGCAGTCTCCCATAATGCTTGGAAACACAAGCTATTGAATCTCTGTGATTCTTTCAGTGAATAAAATACATGATAACATTGGTGCTTCTTCTCAACTATGTAGACTGGCAATGGTGGAAAATCTACAAATGTCATTTCCCTAAATATATATTCTTAAGACTGGAGAAAACACATTATTCTGGTCACTTTAGGGATTTTCCTGGGGAAGAGAAGTCATCTTATCTTCTGTACCCTGATCTATATGCATTAGTTTTCCATGATTCTAATCATGGGGAGTTGCTGTGCATCTTGATGGGTCTCTTTCTTCTCGTCCTATAGACTTAGTCACTCATCTCCTGATCATCTAATTCATGATTGACTAAGAAATCCAAAAGGATATGCCCGTGAAGAATTTCATTCCAGCATATTCCTCCTGTGGTTCCACTACAGTCCTCCAGAAAACCACTGGCAGGGTGTCTTTATCTTTTTCCCACCTAACCTAGCCATTAGTGCCTTCTGGTAAGGAATGCCAAATAGCCTTCACATGTAGATAAGACATAATTGTTGTCAAAACTAACCCAATCTCTCCTACTTCTATCACCTCCGGTCCTTTCAGAAAGATCCCTGAAACTCAGCCCCCATTACCTTCAATAGACTATGCTCTAGGTGACAATATGTCTCAGTCTGCCTAGAAAATCCAAGCTTTTGACTATGGTCCAGACATAATTATTAAGGTGATTTCTTCTATATTCAAAAGAGAACTGGTATGTAAAACAGATAAGATGGTTACTCTAGCTCTAGCCTAGTTCATGTGCAAAGCCTGACTAAGGAAGTGGTACAACTGTTTCTTTACCATTGAGTCAGACTTGGAATGAAGCCATGGTCCTTTTAACTTAGCATGACCCAGCATGAGTGCCGGGTGTCTCCACTTCTCTCCACCTAACCAATTCTTCTTTGTCTTGGAAACCTCAATCTGAGGGATCACAGCAATTCCCAGATTTCTGTATAGCTCCCAATCATGGCTTTCCATGTCCCCATCCTGTGCTGGGTAAGTTCACAGAATTGAGTTTCCACTTTGATTCTTAACTTTATGGTAGATCTGTCTACCATAAAACTTGCCTAGTATTTCAAGTTTCTTTCAGTCCTAGAAGTTGATTCTCAACCCCAGCTAGTACTTCTCTTCCTGGGAAACACTCTAATCCATAACTTGGCTGGAAATGAAAAATATAAACTCAATCTCTCCCCATTCTCTGACTTTCACATTGAACCTCCATTTGAAATCACTCAGTTTCATTTGCTGAATCTAGTCTACTAAAGGCATTCATTGCTTGGATCATGCCCAGGTTGACTTTTCCCAATGGATTTCTCCTCAAACCATAGTCTTACCCCAAAAGTGCACTGCTGAGATTTCTTAGCCTATCATTTTATTTGCAATCAACTATTTTATTTTTGGCTGCCAGCCCTATGCAGTCAATGATTCACCTTGCCAAACACAAGCTTTCCTGAATCTCAATAGTATTTGATCTGAGAATACATCTACAAACCAACATGAAGGGGAAAATAGATTAGGACTTTAATTTAGTCATACGACAGTTTTGAAAAGATTGCTTTTTCCCTTTTTGGTGTGCAACTATCTGTAATTAATAGTTATTGTTTTCATAATAAGCAATTACTTAAATTCAATGTGGTTTAAAAAACATAATACATATTCAAAAATTTCTGTTGAATCTCTACTGTGTGATCCTGTGTTAGGTTTAGTGAGGGACACAGAAATAAGCATGGCACATACCCTGCTCCCTGCAGGGTCCAGTCTGGTAGGGAAGCTTGCCAGTTTAATGTGATTTACATATGTAAGGATGATATTGTGTGCCTGTGGAACAGAGGCAGGGATGGATAAGAAAAAATCCATCTGCCCAAGATTCTAACCATAATGAAAGGAAACACATATAAGGTTCAGGGAAAATCACAGTCAAACCACAAATAAGTTGTTTAATAGAGTGACAATACGTATCTCTCTTATGTGGATTAGCGACAGAAAGAAGAACCACAAAGTGTAAATACTCTGTGACTTCTGGAATCAAATACAGTTGGAGGAGGCAGTACAACAGTCAACTTCTAACTTAATAGAATGACAACTCTTCTTGAATAAATCTATAAATTTAACTGAAAGCTTTGAATGTTCAGATTTTAAGGGAGGCTTTCTTTTCATTGTTTTCCTATTTTAAATGGCTGAAAGGAGAATACACTTTCTTAAGTTTTGGGGGGTTTTGATTATATTTTAAAATTCGAGGTCTTTTTAGTTCGCAGGAGAGGAGCAGAGTGAAAAGCGAATGGGTCACAGAACCTGAAAATTTGGGAGTTTATTCCCAGTTCTGTGACTTGAACTTCATAAATTATCCAAGAGAACAGGCCAAACGGAATGCCCCTCGCCCTCCATTTGCTTAGCTCTTTGATGAGTTTTGGGTTGCCTTATCTTCCCACTCTGCTGACCTTACTCCTTCTTCCTTTCAAACATTGTTCTCATTAGTTTTCAAAAACATAAAACAAAATGAAAAATCTTCTCTCCACATATTCAATCCCTAATCACTTTTCAAGAGCCAGCTCACAAAGTATGTCTTATAAATATTTTTAAAGGATTTCATTAAAATTGATACTGCATACTGATTTACTTAGGAAAACAACTGTTTGCTGTTTCACAGGCTTTGTGAAGGCCCAGTGGGGATGTTTGTGGAGGGGAGAGATATTACCCCAATTCAGCTTTACATGAACCTGGAAAGAACCGTCCCACCTCCTGAAATGCTATATAGACCATTAGTTTACTCTTGCTTTTTTCATGCATAAAATTGCCAGATTCTTTTTTCAGTTGTAAGCCCTGAGTGTGCAATGCTACCCAATAGTTTATTAAAGATAGTTCTTTAAATCTTGTATATTCTCTGAGTCTTCTTAGATTAACGAGAATTTTACATTTTTTCTTTGAAATATCTACTATAAACAAGGACGTTGCATCTTTCAAATTCTTCCTTTCTTACCTCACAGTCCTAAAATTGACTTTATTTTAATCTAAGTACAAAGAGAAAAGAATTAAAATGAGTAAGAAGAGAAGGGGCAACCTTGAAAACAAAATCATAGAATGACAGCTGAATAGAGCAGTTTTAGAACAAAGAATATGTATAACACTTGATAAGTGAAAGAATTTCCTTGGAAGACACAAAGTAGAAATGTTTGGTTACTTAACGAAAATCACTAAGTTGGCAGAGTTTATTTTCTTCATGGTTCTATTTTTTTCTCCCAATAGGCAGTAATTATTCTTCAGATGGCTTTATTATTTTTATGTTAATAAATTTTGTTGATGATCACTAATAGAATTTAATGTACATAGTAGCTCCTGGAAATAGTCTTCCTTATTATATGTGTTTAGCTGAATGAAATCTCTTAAACTGATACTACCTTCTTTGGCATCTGTTGTAGACTTATCTGATGATCAATCCAGAAACTCTCTAAGGTCACAGGGAAGTTATTTCCCAACTTAAATCTATCTCTTTCACACCATACTTTAATAGGATGTATTTAATTGCCATTTACATAGATATTCCCATGTGGCAACACAGATTATCCAATTCTGCCATCCAAGAAATAATTGCTAAGATAAAGCAGGCAACAATTAATTGCAGCAAAATAAAGTAATATCTGTTAATTATGAGGCTGATTTTCAATAGTGTACTTGTCAAAATTCTATAATTAGATCATGTAAGAGGCATTATAGTATGCATCATAATATTAAAAAACAGAGGATATGATACATAAAATAGAGTACAGAGGATATGTAAAATATAATTTACATTAACAAAACATATTCTTAGAGATGTTAAAACACAAAACTACATCTCCATGAAGACAGATGAGGAGAGGTTAAAAATGAGATAAAGAATAGTCAATCCAATCCAGAGAGGTAAATGGTGTGGAAAAGTGTGGGTCAGTCTACACTGATGAGACATGACAGAGTTAAGGAGAAATCTGCAGTGATCAGATGAAAGAATGCCCCCATGGTAACCCCTCAAATATGCCTTCAGCATCTTCTGGACTAACACAGGGCATATTCCTAGGGAGAAATTGGAGGGTATACCTTTCGGTATTTTAAAAATCAGACTTTAAAATTTAAAAATTTAAAATTTGAAATTTAAAAATTAGGGCGGGGCACAGTGGCTCATACCTGTAATCCCAGTACTTTGGGAGACCGAGGTCAGAAGTTCAAGACCAACTTTACCAACATGGTGAAATCCCATCTCTACTAAAAATCCAAAAAAATTAGCTAGGCGTGGTAGCTCACAGCTGTAATCCTAAGTACTCCAAGGCTGAGGTGGGAGGGTCGCTCAAATCCGGGAGGTGGCAGTTGCAGTGAGCCAAGTGACACTGCACTCCAGCCTGGGTGACAGAGGAAGACTCTATCTCAAAAAATAAATAAATAATAAAATAAATAAAAACAAGACTTAAGAATTAGGTGAACTTCTAATGCCACTATAGAATCTGTGGCATATGCTATTAGTTCTCACCAGGTATCCATCCATGTGCTTCTCCAGTTTTCCTTGAGGTTAGGATGCATGTGACTGGATTGAGGGCAATGGATTTAGTGGAGGTGATATGGCCACAGACCAATCTGGCCCTTTATTCACATGGTCCTTCAGGTCTTTCCTTCCATGTGTGGTGATCTTAAGGTCACATTCTTCAGATGGCACAGCCACAAGATGGAGAAAAGCCACCTAGTACACTTTCATTGGACTTGCATGATTGAGAAATTAACCATTAATTTGTTATGCCAGTGAAATTTTAGCATTTATTTTCTTCCACAGCATAGCTTATTCTACTCTGACTGAAACATAAACTGATACCATAAGTGGGCTGCTGTTGTATCCACCACCTGCAATAGATGGACATTGTCACAGGGGCTGAGCAGAGGTGGGTGAGAAAACTATATAAAAGACAGAGAAAATAATGAATGTTTTATGAAGAGCCAAAACATTGGTAACATTATTTCCTGCAATGATTTGTGAGGCAGATCACATGAGAAATAAATATCAATTGCCATTGAGGTTTAGGGGCTTGTTTGTTACTACAGCATAGATGAGCCTAATCTGACTAGTTCAGAGCCACTTAGCTGCTCCCCAGTTTCTCCACATTTTTCAAGATCTTCACATTTTTTTTTTTGACAGAGAACAGGGTTTCCATTGTATAAGCACAGTTAAAGCAACTAACCTTCTACATTTAAGTACCCAAATAATTAAAACGTATTCATGGACTCACTCAATATTTTCTATAAAATACTTGCTATCTCCATGACACTGCTAACTGTTGTGAGGAAAAGATAAAGAGCCTGCCCTCAAGAAGGACGTCTGAATAGCCATACAATCCCTAATATTATGAAATAGCTGTTGCGGGAAGTCAGGGACCCGGAACGGAGGGACCGGCTGAAGACATGGCAGAAGAACGTGGATTGTGAAGATTTCATGTACATTTATTAGTTCCCCAAATTAATACTTTTATAATTTCTTATGCCTGTCTTTACTGCAATCTCTGAACATAGATTGTGAAGATTTCATGGACACTTATCACTTCCCCAATCAATACCCTTGTGATTTCCTATGCCTGTCTTTACTTTAATCTCTTAATCCTGTCATCTTGTAAACTGAGGAGGATGTATGTCACCTCATGACCCTGTGATGATTGCATTAACTCCACAAATTTTAGAGCATGTGTGTTTGAACAATATGAAATCTGGGCACCTTGAAAAAAGAACAGGATAACAGCAATGTTCAGGGAACAAGAGAGATAACCTTAAACTCTGACCACCAGTGACCGGGTGGAACAGAGCCATATTTCTCTTCTTTCAAAAGCAAATGGGAGAAATATCACTGAATTATTTTTCTCAGCAAGGAACATCCTTGAGAAAGAGAATGCATCACTGAGGTGGGTCTCTAAATTGGCCCCCTTGGGTGCGGCCATCTTTTATGGAGCTGTAGGGATGAAATAAGCCCCAGTCTCCCATAGTGCTCACAGGTTTATTAGGACGAGGAAATTCCCGCCTAATACATTTTTGGTCAGACCGGTTGTCTGCTCTCAAACCCTGTCCCCTGATAAGAAGTTATCAATGACAATGGGTGCCCGAAACTTCATTAGCAATTTAAATTTCGCCCCAGTCCTGTGGTCCTGTGATCTCGCCCTGCCTCCATTTTCCTAGTGATATTCTATTACCTTGTGAACCACGTGATCTCTTGTGACCCACACGCTATTCGTACACTCCCTCCCCTTTGAAAATCACTAATAAAAACTTGCTGGTTTTGCGGCTTGTGGGGCATCACAGAACCTCCCGAAATGTGATTTCTCCCCCGGAAGCCCAGCTTTAAAATTTCTCTCTTTTGTACTCTGTCCCTTTATTTCCCAAACTGGCCAATGCTTAGGGAAAACAGAAAAGAACCTACATGAAATATCGAGGGTGAATTTTGCCCGATATCTGGCTGAATTTCCCCTGATAAATAACTAAAACAGAATACACATGGGTCACAAATGGAGCAGCACACATAAAGTGCTATGAAAGGCAGAGAAGGAAGAAATTATTTTTAGGTGGGAATTCAGGAAAATCTTTATTGAGAAAGGGGTATTTTAGGTGGCCTTGCATGGAATTGCCAGAGAGTTAAGGAGAAAGTTAGGGGTGGGGTGAAAGAGCACCAGGTAAGAGCAAAGAATCATATCCAATACTCTCCAATAACATCCACAGGTGACTTGTTTCATTTCTCTTCCTAGTTTAAATGTGGGAAGAGGATAAAGGGCAAAAGAAGATAAGGCTATTATTACTCACTCAATCTAAAATTTTGTCTCAATTATCTGATTTCATAGTGAAATAATTTCTACTTATATGCTGAATTGTACAGCTGAGCACTAATTATATATAGTCTTTTTTCCCTTTCTGAGAAGATTAGAAACACAATAATAAGGGTCATACTTTATTCTCTTAAAGTTCAATAACTTACTGGGCACATGACAGGTATTTGGATTTGTCTGACTGACAGTATTTTACAAATGGTTCTGGAGTTTACTATTATCCCATGCTCTTAGTGACCAGGAAACAAGATCTTGACCTCCACTGAGAACATGTCTCAATCCTGCCAAGACTGATTGGATTAAATGGATTTATGGAAAAAGTGATCAGCCTTCCACTAGAAAAGCCAGCTAGTACTGGCAGGAACTAAGCAAAGGAATAATAAAACAAACACGTATTTATTTTTGACTAATATTATTTGATTAAAAACGAACGTGATAGAAAATCGCTGTGGGTATATGTCTTATATATACATAGGTGTGTAGATATGTCTTATATATACATAGGTGTGTAAATATGGCTTATATATAAATAGGTGTGTAGATATGTCTTATATATACATAGGTGTGTAGATATGGCTTATATATACATAGGTGTGTAGATATGTCTTATATATACATAGGTGTGTAGATATGGCCTATATATATACATAGGTGTGTAGATATGTCCTATATACACATAGGTGTGTAGATATGTCCTATATATACATAGGTATGTAGATATGTCCTATATATACATAGGTGTGTAGATATGGCTTATATATACATAGGTGTGTAGATATGTCTTATATATACATAGGTGTGTAGATATGGCTTATATATACATAGGTGTGTAGATATGGCTTATATATACATAGGTGTGTAGATATGGCTGATATGTACATAGGTGTGTAGATATGTCTTTTATATACATAGGTGTGTAGATATGTCTTTTATATACATAGGTGTGTAGATATGGCTTATATATACATAGGTGTGTAGATATGGCTTATATATACATAGGTGTGTAGATATGGCTTATATATACATAGTTGTGTAGATATGTCTTTTATATACATAGGTGTGTAGACATGGCTTATATATACATAGGTGTGTAGACATGGCTTATATATACATAGGTGTGTAGACATGGCTTATATATACATAGGTGCGTAGACATGGCTTATATATACATAGGTGCGTAGACATGGCTTATATATACATAGGTGTGTAGATATGTCTTATATATACATAGGTGTGTAGATATGGCCTATATATATACATAGGTGTGTAGATATGGCTTATATATACATAGGTGCTTAGATATGGCTTATATATACATAGGTGCGTAGATATGGCTTATATATACATAGGTGCGTAGATATGGCTTATATATACATAGGTGCGTAGATATGTCTTATATATACATAGGTGCGTAGATATGGCTTATATATACATAGGTGTGTAGATATGGCTGATATGTACATAGGTGTGTAGATATGGCTTATATATACATAGGTGTGTAGATATGGCTTATATATACATAGGTGTGTAGATATGTCTTTTATATACATAGGTGTGTAGACATGTCTTTTATATACATAGGTGTGTAGACATGGCTTATATATACATAGGTGTGTAGACATGGCTTATATATACATAGGTGTGTAGATATGTCTTATATATACATAGGTGTGTAGATATGGCCTATATATATACATAGGTGTGTAGATATGGCTTATATATACATAGGTGTGTAGATATGGCTTATATATACATAGGTGCGTAGATATGGCTTATATATACATAGGTGCGTAGATATGGCTTATATATACATAGGTGCGTAGATATGGCTTATATATACATAGGTGTGTAGATATGGCTTATATATACATAGGTGTGTGTATATGTTTATATACGTATACATGTACATATACACCTATATATCTCTTAGCAACAGTTCTGCAAAACTCAATCATTATACTTTGGCAGATTGGTTTTAGGTCACTAGTAAGGGCAGAAGCACCACCATGTGTCATCCAAATTCTTGCCTGTGCCTTCCGTAGGACAAAAAGAGGGTTTATGATTTTGACCATATCAATTCTTGTCTTTCTGTTGCCCTGACTATAGGTATAGTTTATTGTATTCTTATCACGTGCCAGGCTTTGGGCTAAACGTGTTCTATGCAGCATCTTTATGTCATCCTGACAGTAGCACAATGACGTATGTAATAGTGGTCACATTGGCTGATGTGAAAACTGAGGCTTAGAGGCATCAGCTGGCAGTATTAAGAGGCAGACTTGGAGGTGCCTGACTCTGAAGAACACACTGCAATCAAAATTCAGTGCCCAAAATTATGATGTCACAGAATATTCCCTGTTAGCACTATACGTTCCACCTGTATGTTTGGAAGAGAAAGAACTATGCTCACTCCTTCTGAGCTGTCCCTATTTATTTATTTATTTTTGGTCTGATGGCTAAATAAAGATTTTTTGTATTCAAGAGAAATAATTTAATGAGATAAAATATTATTTCCTAAGAAAAATATATCAGCTGAAACCTGGGAAACATCTAGATAATTTAATTGAAAATGATTGACATTCTCAAACAAGTGAGTACATTTTTTTGCTTGATCAATTTAGTTTTTTTTTTTAAAGAATTAACTCATATTGGCTGTATAATCACAACTCTTACATCATAAATTATTTCTTCCACAGAATTGAAATCTAGTTTCTTTCAAGGGACTTCATATTATGCAGCCAATGTGATATTATTACAAAATATATGAAAATTATGCCAAATGAAAATGCCATAGATAAATACAGTTAAATGAGTAGAATGCCAAGATTTTAATCCACAAGTCTAAAAAAATTTCTTTTTTAGTTTCACAACTTTGAATTTGTGAATTTTAGCTATTTTAATCAGAATCAGAATATCGTATTTCTCAAAATTATAAATCACTGCTTGTCTCTGTATACACACAGATGCATGCATACATATTTAGTTACATTTTTTGAAATGGCAATTATTCTTATTCAAAGCATAAGCATTTAAAGTACTTAAATTTTTTTTTTTAGAAAATAGAAACATGTTAGGTAGACTTGACTCATGTCCCCATTTTTGGCATGAGGTCTATAGACATAGCATTGCAGAACTCCTTTATATTACTATCTGTTTATCCCTTCATCTATTCAGAAATGCATTCAAATATAACTTTGATTTCAAATATTTGTTTGGGCTATTAGATATCTCTGTAAATAGGAAAAATAATATTTGCCCATTTACTCTAAGTTACATTTGAAGGCTCTTACTATTTTATGGAATATTTTACAGCAATCCAAAATGGTCATACTAAGTTAAAGGTAATTTGTTTATTTATTCATTTATTTATTTATTTATTTTGAGACGGAGTCTCGCTCTGTCGCCAGGCTGGAGTGGAGTGGTGCGATCTCGGCTCACTGCAACCTCGAACTCTTGGATTCAAGCATTTCTCCTGCCTCAGCCTCCTGAGTAGCTGGGACTACAGGAACCCACCAACACGCCCGGCTAATTTTTTTGTAGTTTTTAGTAGAGGCGGTGTTTCACCGTGTTAGCCAGGATGGTCTCGATCTCCTGACCTCCTGATCCACCTGCCTCGGCCTCCAAAAGTGCTGGGATTACAGGCGTGAGCCACCACCCCCGGCCAGGGCCAGATCACACTTGTTTTTAATCTCAACAAGATCTAAGAAAACTATAGTCTATTTAAGAACATACTTTTATGTGATTTAATTTTAATTTTGAAATAAAAAGTTATTTCAAGATATTTTATGAAGAGCATTGAGTATTTCATAACTTAGGACTAAGGTAGTGTTGGAAGGTGAAAACACGTGGAAAATAATTAGTCAAAAACAAATTTAAGCAAAGATGTCACTCATTTAAATGTGTGCAAACATTGTTCTTAATTAAAATATTGGGAAGATAGGAATATATTAAGCACATATTTAAAAAAAGAGAGAGAAGAGAGGTTTGGACAGAGAGCATCAACCTCTTACTTTTTGCCTTGGTTATATATATACATATATATTATATATATATATATTTTTTTTAATTAAAGAGAGAGAAAGAGAAGAGCAAACCTTATATAGACACATAACCAGTCTTTTTTAGTCTTTCTTTTGATAAACCATTTGAAGTATGAATGTGGTACTGTATTTCAGTTAAATTGTACTCTGCAACTTAATCTCCAATTGCATTAAATAGAATTTTGATCTCTTCTTTTGATGAGGTTAAGATTTTGCAAACTACGTGCAGAATATCTGTTTATATGTTATGTCTTTATTGCTCGTGCTTTCTGCAAACCCAGCTTTCCCAAATGATCTTCCATGCTGAAACACCTCAGACTGAGTTTTGGCTAGGGACACTCAATGCCTGTAATTAAAACTGGGATCACTCTTCTTTGCCATAAAAGACAAACCTGCTTCCCGAAAATTGGATCACAGTTATTTGCTTTCCAAAGCCTACATTTCTGAGTTGGTCCTAAGTTATGAAACACCCAAGGCTAATTTTCAGTTTGGGGGTTCTGTTCATAAATGTGAAATACTGGACAGCTAGATAGTTGACCCATTTCCCATTCCAGAAATATATTACAAATATCCCTTATGGTGAAATATGGGACACAAATGCATGAACCTAGTATAAAGAAAACTATCTTTAAAGTTATGTTCTATTGAAAGATTTTTAGTATAAAAACTTGAGAAAGCAGAAACATTGGAATGTTATAATTACAACATTAATACATTTTATTTCCCCATATGTTTCTACTACCAAATAAAAAAGTCTTTACTGCCCCATCATCTGTTTTTTAATACAACATTTCTGATGTTCTTTGAAAATTTAGCAAAAAAAAAAAAAAAAAAAAAAAAAAAAAAAAAAAATCTTTGCATGGATGTTTAAATATTCCACTGCAGGTTGAAAAATAACTTTTTATTAAAAGCTATGCAGTGTGCCAAACACGAAACAAGGGGGCTTGAGCAATGCTTGTTTTTAACTTTTTTTTTAATGTTAACTAATGATAAATTTAAAAATGACTAATCAACTTGGTTGATGCAATGTAAAGACCTAATACTCAAATCAATTGCCTCTCCAGTTTGACAAGTTGAGTAAGTTACTATTTAATACAGTAAAAGTTATTCTGTTAGGCCTGATAAAGAAACTATGTATAAACTTTTCTATACATATGGCAGATATATAGAAAAATATTCATTAGGCTGAATAAATTGACAAAAGTGGTTTTAAAAAAAATAAGAGGTTGTTATATCTGCTTCGATTTGAAAATTTCATTCAACAGTTCTTATGAACCTACTGTGTGCTAGGCAATATGTGTGCTGGGTGTAACGGGGAGGGGAGAAGGCACATTTACGTACATGTAAGTTGTGTATAAATAGAAAGGCGAAGTTAAGAGAGTACACGTTTTTACAATAAGTGAGTAAACAGAACGTGACATTTTATGGATCTTGAAATGTGAATAGAACTTTTCTGACTAAAAGAAAGAAAGGAGGATACTCCAGGCAAGGAAAAAACTTGAATGAACAGCACAGAACAGAGGATGGGAAACATGCGTCATCTTTGACTATTTGGGAAAAGCAAAGCAGGTTGACTGAATCTCGGTGTAGATGGGATAAACGAATGGGAGATAGTGTAAGGGGGGTACTCGATGGCCCCATTTTGAGAGCTATCAATACCATATTAGGCAGTTTGGGATTATCTTCTGGGCAATAACGGGAACTTAGGTAGCCATACCAGCCTTTATAAAGAAAATTCTGATGGGACTGTGAAAATTAGATGGAAGGTGGGAGAGACCTACCTACTTAGGGTGAGGAGCCCGTGAGGGAGGCGTTTTCGGCCATCAGCCCAGGAGAGGACAGCAGTAAGGACAGTGAGAGGACAGGAGTCAGTAGGCCCAGGGCAGCAGAGCTTAGAGGAAAATGGGTGGGTTCAAGACAGGCCGCAGCGGCAGCTTGAACCCAACTTGATCGCATGGACGTGGAAGTGGAAAAGGAAGAAAAAGAGACGACACGGGTTCTGAAATGGGTGTTCTTTTAAGGAAACGCATAGTGACGCTTTCAAGATCTGTCACAGATGTTTGAAAACGTTATGTAAAATGACAACTATTTTAGGAACCTTGAAAAAATAGTAATAATGGTAGAGGAAGTAAAATGTATTTCCCTATTTAAGAAGATACATAACTTGACTTCTGTCCTTCTCTTAAAAAAAAACGTCCGGCCAGGCACGGTGGCTCACGCCTGTAATCCGAGCACTTTGGGAGGCTGAGACGGGAGGACCACCTGAGGTCAGGCATTCGAGACCAGCCTGGCCAACATGGCGAAAACCCATCTCTACCAAAAATACAAAAAAAAAAAAAATTAGCTGAGTGTAGTGGCAGGCGCCTGTGAGGCTTAGGCGGGAGAATTGCTTGAACCTGGGAGGCGGAGGTTGCAGTGAGCCGAGGTCTTGCCATTGCACTCCAGCCTGGGTGACAAGAGCGACACTCTGTCTCAAAAAAAAAAAATTAAAAAAAAAAAAGACAAAAACGTCTTATGTGTCCCTTTGTAAATAGCTATACTCATCAGTAACTAGTCTATTTATATTTATTTATTTATTTATTTTTGAGATGGAGTCTCACTCTGTCGCCCAGGCTGGAGTGCAGTGGCTCGATCTTGGCTCACTGCTACCTCTGCTGCCCCCGGTTCAAGCAGTTCTCCTTCTTCAGCCTCCCGAGTAGCTGAGATTACAGTTGCCTGCTACAGTGCCTGGCTAATTTTTGTAGTTTTTTAGTAGAGATGGGGTTTCACCATCTTGGCCAGGGTGGTCTTGAACTCCTGACCTCGTGATCCACTCTCCTCGGTCTCCCAAAATGCTGGGATTACAGGCCTGAGCCACCGCACCTGGCCTAGTAACTAGACTATTTTTATAGGAGACCTTAGACTATTATTTTCCCTTGAATTTACTTTATTTTCCCCTATTGCACAAACTTTTCTATGCCCTGGACTGTTTATTCATTTTCAATATCTCTCTCCAAAAACAGAAAAGAAAAGAAAATCAGATACACCGCTTTCTTCTCTCCCTATCTGCGGAGCCTGCCTCCTCCAACCTGCATAGCTGCATCCCAGTGCATGTGCACCTGCCTGCTTGGACACTTCAATGACTAACTTCTCTGCAAATACATCAATAGTTTCATTGCCTTCAGGCTTCTTCTATGTCTTTTAACTCTTGAACCTTCTGGTGCATTTTAGCTTACCAAACAGCACATGCTGCTTTGTACTTGTGTTGTTTTATGTATTCATTTATTGCACAAATTTTCCTTGAGTGCCTTGTTCATGGAAGGCGCTATTCCAGGAATTTTATGTGTAGTTTAAGTTACCTCCATCTAAACTATAAGATTTTCATATAATTCATCTTTGTAGTTCTACCACAAGCATATTAGTAGATTCTAAATAAACGTTAACTCCATATTTGTGTGCATGTAGAAATATGTCATGTTTATGTATATATTAATGCATCTATGTTTCTATATCTAACAATGATAAAAAAGTGCTAATAAAATGATGATTAACGTTATGTTGAATTATATAATTGTATATAAAAGTTATGTTATGTTCTTCTTACATTAAAGTTTTTCATATACTTTGCCTTTTGAGAACATCTACCCATTATCAGACGAGACGGGGAGTGTTCAGGGTGGTATGGCCGTAGACCATCTACCCATTATCAGAGGATGAAACTTGCATTGTTCTCCATGTTTTATTTCCTTTGTCTCTGAAAGACCTGTTCACAGAATATGCCACTCTTTTCAAAAATAGTACATATACAGTGCAATGTCAAAGTAAATGGAAGAAGAAATTTACATTTTGACTCTGACAACAACAAAATGAATAAATAAATAAATGCTGTTTTTTTCTACAAAGCAAGAAAAACAAAGCCACTGTAAGTGTACTCTGAATAAAAATCTGCTTTCTGTTATTGTAAAAAAAGAAAATGGTGAAACTTGAGGTAAAATATTTTGCTCATATCTGAAAACACTATTGCTGGAGGGGGAAGAGACGTGAGTGTGTTGACCTTTGCAAGGCAGAAAGGCTCACAAGGAAGTAAAAATGTTGAGCCTTTGAATCCTCACAAAATTCTCAGTTGTACTTGATCTACCTCCCCCAGCTTCCTCCACTGCACAGGCTAAATAGGTAGGCATCTTTTTACAAGAAAAACATTTTTATATGCTAAGAGACTAATGGATTAAACACTTGTACATGCACACACACATGCATGCACACACAAACACACACACACACAAAGCAAGTAACAATTAATAAATCAAAAAAGTGGCTCAAAGAGAATACTAGGAGTCCAGGTATATACCGTAAACATATATGCCATATTTACTAGATATAGACAATTATTAAGTAGTTGGTGGCTTATGGCCATAATTAGATACTAAGCTGCAGTTGTGGTCTTGTCCCCATGAGTCATGGTCAACAAGTCAGTACCCCAGTTTTTTTCAATGGATCTATAGACAAACCAGTATCTACAGTTGTCTTTCTCCTACATAGAGCTTCAATAATTGGAACATTGACTGAATCATTTGCCATAAAACATCTCCTATTACCTGCCCAGCATTGATTATGGTTAGGATGGTCTGAATCTACAAGAATAATTATTACACACCTCTCCAGATTACCACATACGGATTACTTTTGATTTGAGGACCATGGCTTAGTTATAAAGTCTCTATATTCAGAGTCAAAACAGTATCTGCAAACTCCCATAAGAGAACTTAACATCCTTTTCTCCCCCAAGCAGGTCACAGGAATGAGAAATCGCCCCCTCCTGACCCCCAAACAAGCCATAAAACCTAGAAAAATCACTCTCTGACGTTCACCACCTCCCAGATCCTCATGTGACAGATGTGCTTCCTGATACCCAGGGGCAATGAATGGCTTACAGAAACACAGAGAAGAATCTGGCCTTGCGAAGTTGTCTCCAGTTCATTACCATTAGATCATACTCCTGTTATCCAATCATGTTTCTCTACAACTATCCATTTCTTTCATCAGACTTAGCAATAAAAATAGTCTTCTTGGCCCAGCACGGTGGCTCACGCCTGTAATCCCAGCACTTTGGGAGGCCGAGGCAGGCAGATCACAAGGCCAAGAGGATGGGACCAGCCTGGCCAATATGGTGAACCCCATCTCTACTAAAAATACAAAAATTAGCCAGGCATGGGGTTATGCTCCTGTAATCCCAGCTAGCTGGGAGGCTGAGGCAGAAGAATCACTTGAACCTGGGAGGCGGAGGTTGCAGGGAGCTGAGGTCATGACATTGCACGCTAGCCTGGGTGACAGAGGAGACTCCATCTCAAAAAAAATAAAAAATTTTCTCTGGCCCTTTGCAACTTTAATTCCAAAAGCTCCCATGCCACATGAAATTTTGATAAATAAACTTTTTATGCTTTTAATTTGCCAGTCTATCTTTTGGATTAGAGGTGTCAGGCATGACCTTTTCCATAGGTCCCTGGGTGAGGAAAAGGTATTACTATTTCTCCTCCACCATACTTTTACATATTTTGAGACAGAAATAATTCTAACATTTCACAAGCCGATTAAAAGCTCTGAAACATCATGTTTCAGTGAAGTCAGTAAATAAATTGTTCCCATTATATATAATTATGAAAACAACATTATTTTATTATTTAGGTTCTCCTAATTCATTTTTATTCTCTTCTTAGCTACCCAGGGCATACATTTTACTCTATACATTACATATGCTGCAAAATGCTACAAACCAGGTATTTTTCCATTGGAAAGGTTGTTTTTCTATTTTTCAAGACAACATTTTGATCTGCCCATTTCCAGATGCTTTGCTATCTGCCTTTGAGTTTGTCAGAATTATTGCAGCAATTGGAATGTGGTTTATACCCCACTCTTTTTGGCAAAAAGAGTAACTTCTAATTTGAAGCTGAAAACAGCTTTGTAGAAAATAGAAACACCATGATAATTTCTTCGTTACACCATTAATCATCTCTCTCCCTCACCAGTAGAAGCTGATCACAACCTTACAGTTTTTACTTTATTATGCCCTCTGTTATTTAGGCTATACAGTGTAGCATGCAAACTGTTCATACTAGCCACTCTATACTTCAAGGTCACTGAGTTGAATATCTATTCCATCAGACTCGTCACGCATTAAATAATATTAAATTGCATATGTCTCTTTATCTCAAATTCTGGGTCTGTGTTTGGAGTTGGGGGGGAACATAAAATTCATAGAATGCTTCAATGAATCATTATTTTATGCACATATAATTGAGCATCCTTTCGGTTTATGCCTAAGCTGATAAGAAAGTAATTCTTCGGGAGAGAAGCAAGAGAGATAGCTTCTTTATGTTTAGAAAATATTCTATAACCCAAGAAAATCCTGGGACAACTGTATGCATGATTGAAATTATACCTGGTCAGGTGGACACCCTGGGTCCCAGTTGCCCAGTGACTCAGCCAGCCAGCACATGAAGGTAAAAGAAATAGAACTCAACAGGCATACAATTCCTCTCAAAGGCAAAGCAGACTAAATATGCCTCTTTCAACTTTTATATTATCACTTTCTAGATTCCAATGCTTTCCTCTTTCATGACATTTTCCTCCTGTGAGGAAGTCCCAGATATTAAATGTTAAACTAATTATCTTGGATAAAACATTTTGAAGGGAGAAATATATAGTCACTCTCGGAGCCTACAGGGAAGATCCCTGATTGATTTTACACTGACAGATGAGGTTACCAAAGCTCTCAGCAAAAAGTGCACTTCTCTGAAGTTCTTGATAACTGCATTCCTTTTCATTTGTCTACAGCTGATATTATGATAGCTTTATACCTTCCACAGCATTGAGTTAACTGCACGGAGAAGATTCTCAATGAGCACTTGTTGAGTGAATCAAACCAAAGCCTACTCTCCTGTTTGCTAGAGGATGCCACTCCAGGGTTACCAGGGTTTCATCTTATTATTGGAGCATGTGTCTCCTTTACCTACAACAGTATCTCTGTTAGAGAGGATCTAGAGCTTATAAGGCTATTTTTCCTAGTCTTCTGAAACTTTATTACATAAGCTTTTTAGATATTCCTTTAGAATTTTGGTTTGTAATTGTTAAAAGACAAAGTTTCTAACACAATAATTCACTTTTTAATCAATTAACGCTATTTTTAGATTCTTCCTAGCAATAACAAAATTTCCTAATATTCTTTCCTGTCTCCAATATTCTAAGTACATTTATTTCTAATAATTAAATCTTAAAATAAAAAAAAAAACTAACATGGAACTCTGATGTACCAAATATCTGAAATGAACAAAACTTGCTGAATCCATTGATTTTGAAAGCTATCCGACAATGGCACAGAACCACCTTTTGTCTAAATGTCACTCAGGGGAGTCATGTATTTATTTCTTTGCCTTTTATAGAACTGAATCAAGGTGGTTGCCAAAAACGAACCCTCATTACCATTGTCATTTTGAAATCTCATCTTCTAGTCTAATGGACTATCAATATCATGAGTTTTTCTCTCAATATTTCAAAGGCACACAGCCCAGTGTTATCTAGGAATTCATCATCAGTCACATACTATTATCTCAGTAATTTGAAGAGGAGTGTAGAATTAGCATCTCTACACCAAAATGAGAAATGACGATATTTCTTTCATTTCACAGTATTAACACTAAGGTCATAAGCACAGACTGATTTGAGCTCATCCTATTATCCTTGGTACCATTTATTCCCCTCTTCATTCCACACATAAGACTACTCTGGTTAAAACTCCAGAGAATTTTGGTAAGTAGAAGCTGAGGAAAAAATCAATTAAAAATTGCTGGTACTCTGTTTTGAAAGAAATGGAGATGTGACTTTATCTTCAAGCCACATTATTCTTTAGTTTTGGAAAGCCCTTCTGTTGATGATTCTACATGCCTTCCTCCCAGTCCCTTTCCATCCATCCTTGCCCTGCTCTGAGTGAAACCCTTAGAGACTGAGTTTTTGTGATGGCTGACATCTGGCTGGATTCAGCTAATGGGGGACACTGGTAAGAGAACAGAGAACAACAGAGAGAATGGGTTATTTTATTTCCCTCCTTTCTAGCCATAGCATACCATTTTTGGAAGTAGCTCCTACTGGGTAGTCCTACATCCACTGTTCAAATTTCCATATGGCCCTGGTAACACTGTTTCCTTCCACTGTTCCTTATGCTCTGAGCAGAAGTGTTACATACCAGTTCACCAGAATCACTCATCTCTGGGTGCTTCACCATCTCTTTTGTGTTCCCATAACCCTGAGTCAATATACTCCGCAGCTCTAATCTCCTTTGGGGTGGGGAATTTTGGTCTTTTTCATCATTCTACCAGCTACAGAAGGTTACAGGGCATCATAAGTACTAATAAATGCTTGAAAGCTCAATGTGGAATAAGATAAAATTTTAAGATGGGATATGTTTTGGCTGTGCCTCCACCCAGATCTCATCTTGAATTACATTTCCCATAATTCCCATGTTTTGCTTGAGGGACTTCGTGGGGGGTGATTAGATTATGGGGGTGGTTCTCCCATGCTGTTCTCATGACAGAGTTTTCATGAGATCTGATGGTTTTACAAAGGGCTTCCCGTTTTGTTTGGCACTCATTCTCTTTTCTGCCTCCCTGCAAAGAGTTCCCTTCCCCCAGGATTGTAACTTTCCTGAGGCCTCCCCAGCCATGCTGAACTGTGAGTCAGTTAAACATCTTTCCTTTATAAATTACCCAGTCTTGGGTATGTCTTTATTAGCAATGTGAGAAGTAATACAGTAAATTGGTACCGGTAGAGTAGGGTGCTGCTGTAAAGATACCTGAAAACATGGAAACAGCTTTGGAACTGGATAACAGGCAGAGGGTGGAACAGTTTGGAGGACTCAGAAGAAGATAGGAAAATGTGAGAAAATTTGAAACTTCCTAGAGTCTTGTTGAGTGGCTTTGGCCAAAATGCTGACAGAGATATGAACAGTAAAGTCCAGGCTGAGGTGGTCTCAGATGGAGATGAGGAACTTGTTGAGAACTAGAGTAAATGTCATTCTTGCTCTGCAAAGAGACTGGTGGCATTTTGCCCGTGTCCTAGAGATTTGTGGAAGTTTGAACTTGAGAGAGATGATTTAGAGTATCTGGCAGAAGAAATTTCTAAGCAGCAAAGTATTCAAGAGGAAGCAGAGCATAACATGGCGCATGTATACATATGTAACGAACTTGCACATTGTGCAAATGTACCCTAGAACTTAAAGCATTAAAAAAAAAAAAGTTTGGAAAATTTGCAGCCTGGCAATGCAATACAAAAGCAAAACCAATTTTCTGGGGAGAAATTCAACCCTGCTACAGTAATTTGCATAAGAAACAAGGAGCCACATGCTAATCACCAAGACAACGGGGAAAATGTCTTCAGGGCATGTCAGAGACCTTTGTGGCAGCCCCTCCCATTACAGGCTGAGAGGCTAAGAGGAAAAAATGGTCTCATGGGCCAGGCCCTGGGCCCCCTGCTGTGTGCAGCCTAGGGACTTGGTGTCCTGTGTCTCGGTCGCTCCATTTGTGGCTAAAAGGGGCCAAGGTACAGATTGGGTCATGGCTTCAGAGTGCAAGCCTCAAGGTTTGGCACCTTCCAAGTGCTGTTGAGCCTGTGGGTGCACCAAAGTCATGAACTGAGGTTTGGGAACCTCCGCCTAGATTTCAGAGGATGTAAAAAAACATCTGGATGTTCAGGGGCAAAGTCTGCTGCAGGGGCAAAGCCGTCATGGAGAACCTCTGCTAGGGCAGTGTGGAAGGAAAATGGGTGGTGGGAGCCCTCACACAGAGTCCCCACTGGGCACTGCCTGGTGGACCTAGTAGAGCTGTGAGAAGAGGGCCACCATCCTCCTGACCCCAGAATTGTAGATTCACTAACAGCTTGCACCATGTACCTGGAAAATTCACAGACACTCAACTCCAGCCCATGAAAGCAGCCAAGAGGGGAGCTGTACTCTGCAAAACCACAGGGGTGGAGCTGCCTAAGGCTGTGGGAGCCAACTTCTTACACCAGCATGACTCAGAAGAAGTGAGACATGGAGTCAAAAGACATCATCTTTGGAACTTTAAGATTTAATTACTACCCTATTGGATTTTGGACTTGCATGGAGCTTGTAGCCCCTTTGTTTTGGCCAATTTCTCCCATTTGGAAAGGATGTATTTAACCAATGCCTGTACCCCATTGTATCTAGGAAGTAACTAACTTCCTTTTTGTTTTAGACTCATAGGTGGAAGGGACTTGCTTTGCCTCAGATGAGACTTTGGACTCGAACTTTTGAGTTAATGCTGGAATGACTTAAGACTTTGTGGGACTGTTGGGAAAGTGGGGTTGTGTTTTTGTGGTAGGAGTTATTAAGAAATTATTTTAGGCAGATAGAAAAAGTTTTCGTTTCTTTTAAAGCAGCTGCAAAAATGCTTCTTGTCTAGAAGGAAAACCCCCACTTTTAGAGCCTGGCAGGCAATCTTTGATGTGCAAATGCCAGCCATTAGAAACTGAGTCCATCAAACATGGCAATTCTCACCACCATTGTCCTCTTATCCTTGCCCTCACATATGCCTAGCAGCATAGCCACCCCCACATATCCCCAGTGTGTAGAACATCATGGTGCCCTGCATTTGCATATCAACAGGCTAGGGTGGGAGGGCCAGCTTTTTCACGGGCTATGTGAACGACATACCTGGTGAAACCAATCCCGTGAGCCCTATGCAAATCAGACACCACCTCCTCCAGCCTACTCATAAAACTGGCTGGTATCCTTGGCACTTGAAGTTCCCTCTTTTGGCTTTGGAGGCCCCCTCCCTCTGTCTGTGTACCAGGGATCTGCTTCTTTCTTTCTCCCCACTTCCTTCTTGCATATTAAACTCTCCACTTCTCAAAACCATTCCATGTGTATCCATGTTGTTTTATCTAATTTGACTGAAGATGAAGAACCGGGTGTTCCTCCACTCATCGGAGACATATCATTTTGAAATGTGAGGACATGAGATTTGGGAGGGTCCAGGGGAAGAATGATATGGTTTGGCTGTGCACCCACCCAAATCTCATCGCCAGTTGTAGTTCCCATAATCCCCATGTTTTGTCGAAGGGAACTCATGGGAGGTGATTAGATTACGGGGGCAGTTCCCCCATGCTGTTCTTGTGATAGTGAGTGAGTTCTCACAAGGTCTGATGGTTTTATATAGAGGGCTTCCCCTTCCCCTCAGCACTCGTTCCATCTCCTGATGCCCTGTGAAGTGGTGCCTTCCAACAGGATTTTTAATTTCCTGAGGCCTCCCCAGCCATGCTGCACTGTGAGTCAATTAAACTTCTTTCCTTTATAAATTACCCTGTCTCAGGTATGTCTTCATTAGCAGTGTGAGAACAGTCTAATGCAGGATGTTTACAGGTATTTACTGCTTAATAGATACACTTACTACTTTCAAAAATCAAAGACCTGTTGAGTAGGAAGTGTATAGAATTTGGTATCACATAGTACAGGGGTAATAATTGCCTCTCCCTCTTACCTTTGTGCAAGTGTATAGATGTTGATATCATATAGTACTGGGATTATTATTGCCTCTGCCTCTTACCCATGAGGCATGCATTGGGTCCCAATTTCTTCATCTGTAAAATGGTGATAATAATATTATCTCATGAGATGTTGTTGAGGTTACATCAGAGAAGGTCTGTAAGTCATCTTGCACTCTCTCTGGCACATTGTAACTAATTCCCTCTATTCTTGCTTCGGGATAAATGTGTTTTTGAAATTTGGCTAGCCTTCCTCTTTTCCACAGGATAATAGAGCTGTTAAAAAGAACAGGCTCAGAACAGCCACTCAATCAAAATTACCAAATGTTGAAAAGGTCAAAGCACTATAGCATACCTGTATAATTCATAGATTATTGAATACATTAACATTCCAATTCCTCATTCTTAAAGAAAAGATTATAATAAAGACCCAAAATGGCCGTACATTAATCCTCTCCTATGACAATAATTGTTCCTTTTCTGGGAAATGTACAAATGTAACCTCTGCTGACACTGAACTCCAATTTGGATGCCACACTGTGCTTCCGGTTTTGATAACGAATAGATACCCAGGAGGAGAGCAATGGGGAATTGGTTAGATGCTCACAAAAGAAAAAGGCTTTCAAATATGCTGTGGGTTAATTTGAACCAATCTGCAAGGTCTAGGAAATTATGCAATTGATATCCCTGCTTAAGAATATTTTGAGCTTTTGCAAGGTTTGCCTGGGGTTTTTTACGCAGGCTTTAAACAAGCAATCAAACATCTGCTTTCAAAATTAAAGAGCCAAAAACTAACTGATGCATGATTACAATGTCAAATATTTCTTTGTAACTGTTGGACCATTTTCAACTCAATCAATTTTATTTTTATTTTTCATGATATTTCCGGGGATAACATAGACTCATAATTACAGCATGTAGCACTTTAGAGGGCTTTAGGGACAACTTAGCCCATCCCCCTCATTTTAGAGATGAGAAAACTGAGGATCACAGAGGGTAAGTGGCTTGTTTGGGGTCTCAAAGCTAGTTGGTAGCTAGGTCAGAATAGCACTGAAATCAACTTGAATTTTAACGAGACATCTATTGAAATTATTTTATGAAACTTCCTTTTTCCTTGAAACGTCTATCTAAAAAAAAAAAAAAGCTTAGTAAGTTCCAATAAATAAATCACAAAACAAGTTGCTTAGCTCACTGCAAGAGAACTAGGAAAATCATAAATGATAAATACTTTGGTATTAAAAGTTGTGTTCTTGTAATCGCCTAACGAAATGCCCAGCACTTCATTTCCTTCCTTCCTGCAGCCACTTAGTGGACCAAAACTATGCAACAGAGTTAGGTAACGTATCACTAAGTCAATTAATGAAAACAAGTAGTAATTTTGGAGACTCAAACTCATCATTTGATAATAAGAGTTCAACATATAGTTGCTTGAAGAAATTTGGCACAAAATAATTAAAACCCCTCACATTCATTTATTAGGGAATGGCATTGGCGTAATGATGGGGCATGGGGATAAAGAATGGTGCGTGTGGTAGAAAAGGTTCATGGATAAAATGTGGCATACATCCTCTAGACAAGCATACAATCTGTAAAGGAGATGGAGCAGCATCTAGACCATATTCATTCCAGCAGATGTCATCTACTGAACAGCGACACCGACTGAAATTATTTTATAGAGGTTCCTTTTTCCTTGAAACTTCTCTTTAAAAAAACAGACCTAAATAAGATCTATAATAAATCACAAAACAAGTTGCTTAGATCACTGCAAGACAACTAGGAAAATCATAAATGATAAATACTTTGGTATTAAAAGTTGTCTTCTTGTAATCGCCTAAGGAAATCCCCAGCACTTCATTTCCTTCTTTCGTGCAGCCACTTGGTGGACCAAAAACTATGCAACAAAGTGAGGTAATGCATCACTAACTCAATTAATAAAAGCAAGTAGTAATTTGGGAGACTGGAATTCATCATTTGATAATAAGAGTTCAACATATAGTTACTTGAAGAAATGACCCTCTGTTAGAGAGCATAGTCCTAAGATACCAGTTTCAAAGTTCTGTAATAGAGCCTGTAACAGGTCCTGTTTTTATAATTTTTTCTTTTGGCAGGCTAAAGAGAGATTTCATTTTTATTGATAATGGTCAAAAAAAAGGAAATTATTGCTTATAAGTGACTGACCTTCATTACCAGGAATATGTTAAATTTCTCTCTCTCTCTCTCTTTTTGGGCAGTAATGAAGATTCAATGTTATCTTGGTGATGAATTTTACTCTATGGTTTCTTCTTCCCAGGCAAAAGATTATCCTTAGTTCGGAATGTTTCTTCCCCAGGCAACAGGCTAGAAAGGTATTTTCTAATCCTTCAAGACTCTGGTTGACTTCACATGAATTGGCTTGAGTTAGATAAACTCTGCCAATAATCCTAGAACTCTTCTAGCCTACATCCTTAAGTATTAAAAAATACACATTTCTAAAAGCTTTTTTAATCCCTTATTTTCTGCTGCATTCACATATTGCAAAGTAAATAAAATCAATGGAGTAAATACAGACTTCCAAAATGCAATCTCTCTTATCACCTGGCTTACCTACTCTTACTACTGTGCCTGTTATGTTTCTTTTGTTCTCAGTTCTTAATGTCACATGCATTTCTCCACCTTACTTGGTGCTCTGAAAGCCCGACTCCCATGAATTGCATACACCAGCTCTCTTACCCTCTGACTTCCTGTTATGTCAGGCAGGGTGGAAGTATAGAAAGCTTGTCTTGATGAGATTCTAGTAAGAGCCACATTTCTCTACGGCCAGAACTCCTATTGGCTGGCCCCTCCTTCAGGCATCAGTTCTCACTGGACTCTGGTAATATCATTTTCTCCCTAAGACTTCTAGCCTACAGGTTAGAGTGGTTTCCAACTGTTGCTGGACCCAGGGTCCCTCACATCTCCTGAATGGTTTCTTTAGCCTCATCCTCACCTCTGTACATAAGAGTGGCATAGCTTCATTAACATCTCTTTGGTTAAATCCTTTCATGTGAGCCTTTTTTTTTTTTTGGCCAGGACACTGGCTGATATCCCCCTATCACTATAGGTCTAATCTTTGTCTATATGGCATTACATAATTACTCTTGATGGCTGAGAAGGCAGAGGCTGCCTCATTTTGCCAGTATCCTCAGTAGCAACCACAAAGGCATGCCATTGGCATTTGATTGAGAATGCTGATTGATTGCATGGGGAATGAATGGCTGGTCTTATTAAAAGCTGCCTTTAAAAGTCTCCCTCAAAACCATTTCCAAGCATACAGCCTGCTAATGGGCCGGTTATTTATACCTTTGATTTTTACTGTTATCAGTATGCTTGTTTTATAGCCAGAAAATAGTGAGATATTAACAGTCTATATCATGCGCAGACAACAACAATAAAAAACTACCTTGTTTCATACAGGTCAGCTTTTTAGAAGCTTCATTTGTGAAAGATTATATGGAAGGCTCATAGTTTGCAGGAGTTTCTGATCTTCCTGTGCCTCTGACTACCCCCAAGCGTTCTTGCCTTCCTATCACTAAAATTCAGAATTTTCCTTCTGGAATTTTATTCTTTGGGTAATTATTTATTCACACATGAAACAAATCATTTATTGAGCACCTACCATCTACTTTCTTCCAGACCTTGCCCTTCGAACTAGAATTATGGTGGTACAGAAAATGGATGTGTACAATAAATCAATAAGCGAATGAATACATTAGATAATTGAGGTTATAAATAATAAGAAAACAATAAAACGGAGCAACACAATCAAGAGATGGGGTGGGGAGATGTTCAAAAGAGTGGTCAAGGAAGGCCTTAGATCCTAATTGATCTGAGATTAAAATGATCAGAAAAGCCATTATGAAAAGGTCTAGGGAGGGGTCAGCAAACGATGGTGGCCCATGGACCAAGTCTAGCCCATCACCTATTTGTGTAAATAAAGTTTTGTTGGAACAGAGAAACAGAGGCCTGCTCATTTGTTTATGTATTGCCTATGGCTGCTTTTCTTCTCTGATGGCAGAGTTGAGTAGTTGTGACAGAAACCTCATGGCCCCCAAGATGAAACTATTTACTATCTGGCCTTTTAGAGTGAAAGTTTGTTGACCTTTGCCCTTGGGGAGGAACATTCCAAAGACAAAAAAGGGCTAACAAAGGGAGGAACATGTTTAGAGGCCAACGTGACTGGCGCACAGTGTCAGCTGGAGACAGTGCCCTTGGTGTGCATGGTCAAGACTGTAATAAGCAGACTGCATTTTATTCTACACGGGGAGTGAAGACATTTTTTGGCCTTTATTTCAAGAGTAACATGATCTATATTTACTGTTGGGATGCCAAACACATTTGAGGAGATGTGTCTTCATAGATAGCTTTTTTATCTCATTTCTTTGCAACTGATAGGTAACTAGATGAAGTTATTAGTCTCATTTTAGAAGTGGAAAAAAAAAAAAAAACTAAGAAAATTTAAGTGATTGGCCAAAGATAAACAAAAAACAGGTGGCTGAACTGGGACCTGCTCAAACCCCAGAGGCTGGCTACTACTTGAAAAATGAGAGATATTTGACTCCCAATTGACAGTTTTCAGTGCACCAGCCTACACAACTCCATTGCTCTCAGATAAAGCAGTGACATAATTGAGGGAGTAGAAAGACAGTGTATTCCCTGAATGCGTCTTCTACGTATTTAGTGATGACTGAAATTCCACTGTTAGAAGGTCAACCATTAGGCAGCTCTACCTAGGTTATGCTCCTATAATTGCTCCTATTAATTTTGTCCACTTAGATACTAACTTTTTTGAAAAACAACTTAAAAAGTATACTACATACAAGTAAAAATGAAGCAGACATGATTGTAACCCTTCTGTCCTGAATATACCCTCAATGCAGACAGATGTTTCTGGAAAGTTTCAGTTTGATGACCCCTCCAAACTTCCTAGCTAATGTGTGACAGGGACCCTTGAGAACGGGGGCCACTTCCTACCTTTCCTAGTACATGAGTGCTTGGCTCAATGCTGGGCATTCTTCAGATGTTGAGGTGATGGTTTTGGAGTAAATGAATTTAATTGTCTTATTTACAAATAATTTCAGATCAGGTACCAAAATAGAATATTTTTGACTCTGACCTGTATGCAAATGTAAGTAAAAGTATGTGATGGAATTGAAAATGCCCACATGAGACTCGCTTCTCTTTACTCTTTGACCCTACCACCTGCCAACACCATCCCAGGTGGGGAAAGTGAGATTTGGCAGATCCTATTACTCCAGCATTGAAGTGAGAGGGAGCAGAAGGGTGGAGGGAACCTTCTGTTCAGGTTTGCCCCCTTCTCTTGCCATTGCTTTCCTCTGTCTCCCTCATCTGTAATCCTAATTAAACTCCTGCCAGGCCCCTCTGGATGTCCCATCCCCAAACCCGTAGACAACAAAAGCCCATGGCAGCTCCTCCACGGTTGGTTCTACCTTAATCTTCAGCTGGACAGCAACAGCAGCAACTGAAGGAAAGAGGGAAGGACTGAGAACCATGACAGGATCCTAGCCAGGACCGCTGTGGGTAAATTGAAGAAGAAACAATAAAGAAGGCTTTGACAGGAGAAATTCCCTGTTCTTGACACAATGCTGAACGTCCATCAATGGAGTCAGCTTTTTTTTTCTAAAATAAGAGATGTGATGAAGCTCAGGTCAGGTCCTGCAGCCACTGCATGAGGACCCTCGAGAGCCACCATATCTACTACGGTAGCCACTAACCACATGCAGCTATCGGGTGCCTCAAACGTGCCAGTGCAATATGCTGACATGGTAATATTTGGGATATATCAAATTAAACAAAATATATCATTATAGTTAATTCCAGATACTTATTGTTACTTTTTAAAAAATGAGGCTATTAGAATATCTTAAATTACATATTACAATTGTACAGTACTAATGTCGAGGAAAAAAAAAAGCCTAAGATCCAGAAAGATGAAGAGATGAGATGTTAACAGAAGGGGAATAATAAGTCTTCACTCACGTTCTCAATTTGAACATAGCTAACACTCCACACATCAACAGTTGTCTTTTTCAAAGAGAATACTATATTAACTAGCTGCCATCCTCTGAAAGCTCACGTCACTGGAAGTTACTACCATTCCAAACCAAAACTTACTTTTAATTGGTATCAAATGGTTGTATTGCTTTGTTAAATACTGTAATGGCTTTCCAAGTGGAGACTATGCCTATTACCTTTTGTTATCCGTCATAGTGTCTACCAAAATGGTGATGAACATAATCGATAAATATTGATTATCTGATTTACTAAAATGAGATAAATAATAGAGTTTTAAAACAGTTATTGAGCTAATGGCCAGCTCGTGGTGTGTGTGTGTGTGTGTGTGTGTGTGTGTGTGTGTGTGTGTGTGTTCATGCGTGCCACTGTAAGCCACAGGCTATTTGGCATTAAGTTATTAAACATGATTTCCTCCTCCCAGCTATTGTTACTAGGGAAATATTTACTAGTGTTACAAGCATATTCTTGATGAGGAATCCACATTCAGTTTCTTCTCCAAGCCAAGTAAACCTGATCCCACTGAAAGTGGTTTCCTCTCCCTTCCTACACTAAAACTGTACAGTGAAAAAAAAAAAAAATTTAATTCCATAGACATAATGCTTCTGCCAAAGACAATGGTGACAAGCACTTGGATTAAAGACTCAAAATGTTATCAGACCATGTACCTGTGCCTCTCACAAAGACTCCAAACTAGAATAAGGTAGTAAGATTTTGAAACAAAGAGCAAAGAACATAGATCATACAGTACAGCAGATACCAACCAGCAATACCTATTTCTTAGGCACAGGATTGTTGAGAAGGAACTAAAGACTAAGAGCACAAGCCAAAGTATGTAGAGACACTATTTACTGCGTGCAGGAGCCAAGCACTTTGCAAATATTGTCTATAATTTTGGTATTTTATTCCTGTTTACAAATCAAGAAAATAAAACTCAGATAACCCAACTCATCAAAGTTCATATATATAATTTGTGGTCCTCTTAGGATTGAGAATCAAATATGTTTATAGCCAGTTTGTTAATTCCTTCCTTCCTATATATGTTTTTAGTGTATGATTATTTGCAGTAAATTGTATATCATTTTCAATTCAGAGTGCTCACTCATTATCAAAAAATCATTGTTTCAAGCAGTCTAAAATGAAAGATCCTTTCAGGAATTGTTATGTTTAGTATCCAGACCATTTGAATTGTTATTATGATAAATGTAGTAGGGAAACGAAGATGAGGAGCTTCCTGTATGGAATCAGTCCTCGTGGGCTTAATTTTATATGGACCACACGCTGTATACAGCTGTACGTGATGCATGTACGTAATTCAACACTGTTGCCCAGGGAAACCATCGCATCTTAAAAAATACGGAATCATGGGTGGTGTTCTATCCTTGGGCATTAGCCAAGCCTATATTTCTTTGTTTTATAAACTGGATATCTGGCCTATGTAACCCCAAAACCATGTATTTGTGAGCTCAGAGCTGTGAACTTTTTCAGTTTTGTGACAGGCACTCAGTTTTTCATCTTGGAATGCTTATGACAGACAAAAACAAACAAGCAAACAAAGACAGACAAACAAACAAACAAACAAAAGACTGTGGAGGTGAAAGTCGGAGTAGGAGGAAGCTGTAGAGATACAGAGGTGAGAACAAAGACATTGATACTGCTCGTTTTTTTTTAATTATAATTGTGTGTGTGTGTGTGTGTGTGTGTGTGTGTGTGTCAATGTCTCACCCTGTTGCCCAGGCTGGAGTGCAGTGATGCAATCACAGCTCACTGCAGTCTCAAACTCCTAGGCTCAAGTGATCCTCCCACCTTAGCATCCTGAGTAGCTGGAACGACAGGCACATTCCACCATGCCCAGCTAGTTTTTAAAAATTTTTTGTAGAGATGAGGTCTTGCCATGTGAACTCCTGGGCTCAAGCAGTCCTTCCACTTTGGCCTCCCAAAGCGCTGGGCTTACAGGCATGAGTCACCGTGACCAGCCTAGTTACAATTCTTGAGTAAAAGATTCACACCGTCATTTTAAGAAAAACTGAACCTTTTAAAATACAGCAAACCAAGGTCTTAAGACTTTCTAACTTCTAATTTCCCTCTGAAGAGACCATAGGTTCCTGCAAATAACAATTCTGCAGATTGTGTAAATTTACATGTTTCTCTATAAAATACTTAAAAATTAAAAGTAGGTGCTACCTCTAGGCAAGAGTCATCCTTTGATATTTCTCCCTGACAGAGGCTTTCATTTTATTTTAAACAGATCTGACTTCAGGTTGGAAACTCGCATAGAGGAAAATGTAACCCAGGGCAAAGCCAAGCAGTGCCCCGAACCATTCCTGCTGGGGATGGAAATACAGAGCAGAGATACAAGGTCTCCGGACAGCCTCTCCTATTGAGAGCTTTTGTTCTTGAAAACCTGGCCCTAGGCAAATGGGAAATATGAATTACTCATGTGAGTCCAAAAAAGAAATTGTATCTTTTCTGCTCTATTGTAGAGAGAACACACGGATGATGTTTCATCAATTGTTTAAACTCCAGTGTTAAGAAGCTCCTCTGCTCAGCAGAGAGAACGTGAAGGTGAGCAGGAGGAAGCTGGAAAGCTGGGGTTGGTGGGTAGTGGTGGTGGAGTAAGGGGTGATGGTGGTGGGGTGAGGGGTGATAATGGTGACATGAGGGGTGAGGGTGGTGGGATGAGTGGTGATAATGGTGAGGTGATGGTGATGGAAGTGGCAGGTTTGAAAGTCCAGATGAGAGTGGAGTTGGAATTGGAAGTTATTGTCATGGTGGAACGGATGGTGGTGGAGAGGGTGATGCTGATGGTGGGGTTGTGGCAGTGGAGATGGTGGAGGTGATGGTGGTGGTAAATGTGGTAGAAGCAACTACTTGGGCAGTAGTGTTGGTGGCAAAGAAGGTATGGAGCAAAAACTGTGTGCAGAGATGGGGCAGTGAAGATGCTGAATAAACACCTAGACTCTTCCCTAGTCTTTCGTTCCCAGACATATCTCCTCCCTCATCATATGAATTTAAGCTTTCTGAAATGTTGCCATTCATTGACTAAGCTGCATCATTTGCAAAATTTCTGTCCCCTGTCCCTACTCCAGTCTGTTGAAATCTAAATATGAGATGCTGTTCCATTGCTGCTGTTTTTATTGGGAGGAGAAGCTGAGAATCTCACATCTTCTCCTGTCCTGTGAAAGTTTACTCCAGGCTGCAAAGCATTTGATTGTTTTCTTCCCTGCTGGTTCTGCCTTAGAAGAAATCTCTGGGAAAAAATGCATCTAAAGGAGAGACCCAGAGATGAGAAAGATATAACAGGTGGTGACAATCATTTTGGCTGTAAAATATTATTTATTCTATTTTTAACATGGTGCCCTTTCTGTTGTGCCTCTGTGTTATCCAAAGAGTCTTCTGGGAAAAACCGCAGGGCTAGTTTCATTGATAAATAAAGATTAGATCAATTATGTGCATAAACTGCTCTGGCAAGCTTGAGGAATGCTAGCAGAGGAGTCTTAGAGGAAAACCCAAGGTGAGGACCCTTCTCTGTGTTACATCATTATCCAGGCACTTTGCATGCAGAGTCCCAAAGTGGGTATCAGCAAGGAATAAAGAAAATAACACCAATATAGTAACATAAAACTAACATTGATCTGCACACACATCAAGTCACTGTTGGAAAAAGAAGAGTTGGAAGTACTAATATTGCTGGAAAATGTGCCTTTTGATTTAGTCCCTTAAGTATAAAAGAAGGATTAAATTATTCCAGACTTAACCAAGTGGCATTAAAATATCTTATTGTATGATGATCTAAGTCAGTGGCTTGCAAATTTGGCCCAAGGCTTATTTATTAAAAATGCTGATTCTTGGGCATCATTCTCACAATTTCTGATTCAAAATTATTAACCCATGATGGCACTTGGAAATCTTTGTTTTACATTTAAACTTCTCCAGAAGGCGCTTGTTCAGACTACCAAGACTTACCAAGCTTTGATCTGTGCGTCAGAATTCAGAAAGAGCTGACGTAGGTGTTTTTTCCACAGTGATAAATGTATCTGTCATCAGTAGCTATTACTCTAGCTAGAAATCACTCTTCATATTTATGATAATAAAGTAAACCAAGAGTTCAGATCGAGAAGTAAAACGGTGGAAAAATATTTAAGTCTTGGTAACTTGAGAAACAAAGGCACACTATTTCTCAAAATATGGAAGAGGAAATGGTGCTGGATTTTAGGGCACTTTCCCAAGGTCATTGAGTATGAACCGTCAAAATCTCATTTAGTTGGAAATGTCTAGTGATCATTGAAAGACATGGGAGTCCCACTCCAAAAAGAAGATGGGGCTGGATATACAATTGGAGTTTTGAGTATAGGCCTTTGGGGTCTAAGGGGAAGTTCAAAAAGGACAAATTCAGATATTCAGGGGGAAAAGAACAGCTCGTCTTATAGCAGTGTTTCTCTGAGTGTGGCACTCAGACCACCAGCATCTGCATCACCTGGGGATTTGTTAGAAATGCAGATTCTCAGACCCTGCTGCAGATCCATTGAATAGACTCTGAGTGGGTTTCGCAAGCCGTATGCAGGTAAAGAGTCACTGCACTCAGTTGAGCTGAGACAGCCTCCAAGTAAGAGGACGGGGTATCTCTGCCTCCAGGGTGATTGGGTTGCTTCATTCACTGCTTCTCAATTGGCTTCCTCTCAGAAGTTCCAAATTTGCATAATTAACTGACCCTTTCACACGATTGTCACAAAGAAAGGGACAATAAAAATCACAATCTTTTTAAAGACTCCACTTACTGCAAAACAAAGAGCTGCTCACTGTGTCAGAGACAGTTTTCCAGCATCGACTACTTTTATCGAAGCTTCAAAAATATGAGAGTTAAATTTTAGTGTCAGGCTAACCTGCAGAAGATGCCTGAGCATTATCCATCAAAGGGTGAGTGAACAGACAATAGAAAGAAACCAAATAAATAAAAAGGAGAAAATTGATAATGAGGACAGTCAGGTGGGTTATCTAAATGGCCTTCTTACAGAGGAGTAAACATAGTTCTTTCTAATCTCTCAGAGCCCAGAGTGATCAACCCATCTTAAAACTTGGCCAATCTAGGACACAAAATTTCTTTCCACTTCAACATTAATGTGAGCCAAATTATTTCAATTATTAATATTACTGAACATCCACTAGTCCCAAGCACTGTGCTTGACATAAATAAATGCATAAGAAGAATAAAAAACATAACACCTATTATCACACAGCTAGGTAAGTTTACTCAATTACTTAATTAATTATAAAAATGCATTAATTCAAAAAGCAGTCTTTTACACATTTCAAGACACTATAAATTCTAGGGGTAATAGACACAATATAAATAAACAAGCATATAAAAAAGATAATTTTATGTGGTGCTTATGTGATCTGATGAAAACAGAATAGCATTAAAGGGAGAAACTAGGGGTGGGGAGTGGAATGCATTTTATATTGGTGGTCACACAAGTCCTCCTTGAGGAACAGATATTGGACTTGGGGGATGTGTGCTTTCCAGGAGAGGAAAGAGCAGGTACAAGGGTCCCAGGTGGGGAATGAGTTTGTCTTGTTTTAGGGCTAGAAAGGAGGCTCATGAGGCTGCAGCCTTATGGCAAGGTGAAGATAAGTCCACAGAGAAGTGCAGAGACCAGGTCATCTAAGCCCTGTAGGCCACGGTAAACGGTTTCATTTTTATGTCAAGTGCTATTGGAATTTCCAAGGGACATTAAGCAAAAAAAAAAAAAAAAAGTTAGATTCCGAAAATCTCAGTTTGTGTTGGCAAGAGTGTTCCCACTTTTATGTTTGGGGGCAGTGTAAATTGGTATAATCACTTTGATAAACCTTTTGATGGTATCTCATAAAGCTGAATATTGCATACTCTAAAACTTAGCAATTATATTCCTATGTATATTTCTTTCAGAAATGCATGCTGACCTATACCAGAATACACACCAAAGAATGTTTACAGAAGTATTGTTCATAATAGTTCAAAATGGAAGCAACTCAAATATCTATTAAGAACAGAATGAATAATTAAATTATAGTATATTAACACAGTGGAATACTATTTTGTTGTTTAAAATATGCTGGATCCATGGATCCACCATTTGAATACATTTGGGATTGTGGCAGGTCTAATCATCAAAATTTGGTGAAAATGATGTCATGTGTCCTCATTCATAAAAGGACGTGTGTTCATAAAAGGGTATGTGTTTCTGTCCAGCGCTGCTGAAACGTTTTCTCTTGGAGTATTGAGCCACTTGTAAGAAATTTGACTCCTCTGACACCACCACGCTTTAAGGAAGCCCAGGTTATGTTAATAGACACTTGCAGGCACACTGATTTGTAGTGTTTGCTTCGTCACCTTAGCCCAGCTGCTGGACATGTAAATGAGGAAGACTCCAGGTAATTCTAGTCCCCAGACATCTGAGCCTCTTCAGGTGATACCCCAGGCTTTATGAAGCAGAGACAAATCTCCAAGCTATACTTTGTTTGAATTCCCAACCCACAGAATCTATGAACATAATAAAACAGTTCTTTCTGTGCCAGTTAGGAGTGGTTTGTTACATAGCAACAGAGAACTGGAACAACTATATCAACAAAACTATGTGCAGAAACACACAGCAACATAGATACGTATATCATAAAATAAGTTAGATACAAAAATAATAAACAATGATATAATTTTTTAATAGAAAATTCTAAAAGAAGTTAGAAAATTTATATTATTTGTGAGTACATATAAACCAAATAAGGAAGTTATTACCATAACAAAAATACAGTTACATAGAAGTAAGTTCTAGTATTCAATAGCACAGCAGGGAAATTATAGTTAAAAAATATTTATTGTATATTTCAAAATAGCTGGAAGAGAAGAATTGTAATGTTCCCAACAAAAGGACAAAATAAATGTTTGAGGTGATGGATATCCCAATTACCCTGACTTGATCATTACACATTGCATACTGTTATGAAAATGTAAGACGTACCCCCCAAATACATACAACTATTATGTATCAATAAAATATCAACACAGTTACATGTACAAAAGAAAAAATGATTTTGATCAGAAATACCTGTCCCTCCTGCTTCTAGGTAAAGATAATGTTCTATTTATTGAGCCCATTGATAATAGCTACTAGAGTGTTCACCTTACAACAATTAGTTAAGCAGTGTATTTATGTTTTATGCACTTTCTCATATGTGCATTATGTTACGTAACTTAAAAAATGTTTAAGAAAAGATCATTCTGTCTGCTGGGTAAAAAATGACTCCAACAAGAATCTGAGGAAGTAGGGAAATTAGTTTCACGACTGATTCTGTACTCAATGGGAAGGATGCTGTCGGCTTGTACTAGCTGTGCAGACGGTGAGAGGAGATTGGTTTTAAAATATTTTGGAAGAAGAGAGAATGGGATTTCCTGTTGGGTTAGATAGGGCTGGAGAGTTCAATAAACAACAAAAAAAATGGAGAATCAAGGAAGATTATAAGTTTTTGACTCAAGCAAATGGTTGGATTGTGACACTATTGTCTGACATTATTATTCATTTCAATATTACCAACTAGCATATGGTTTTATTGTAATATGCCAAATTTTTCTGATATGTGCTTTTGGGGTTAGGAAATAGGTAAAATTAAAAGTCTGGTGATAACTTGCTCAGATTATTAAGACAAGTTAATATTTTCCTGATAACTCATAACGATCTAAGAACAAGTTCTTTGACTCACATTGACACATATCATTCCCAGGTATTACGACAAAAAAGCAATATAATGAAAAGAAATAAGCAAACTTCCCTGTATCTTCTGAGGTATAGTTCAATTTATTCCTTTTTCTGAGAATAAATCAAAATGGTTTAGTAAGAAAAGAATAGTTAGGCTTGGATTCTAAAATTGTAAACCAAATTTTACCATTAACTAGCTTGGTAGTGTTAAGCAAGCCATTCAAACTTTCTGAGATGTAGCTTTATAATATCAAATGGGGAAAATAATACATGGCTAGCTTCAGTTGCAAACATTTTCATGAGAATCAAATCAGCCTGTAAAATAGCTTGTAATGTCGACATCATTCAAAAATAAAAATATGTTATTGTAAGGTATCTTAGCTGAGTCCAAATTAGATTGCTAGTGAATTTGAAAAGTAAAGAAACTCTGAAGGTATCTGTTTGCATCAATTAATTCCCTGAGATGGATAATTTTGTTTATTTCCTGAGGAATGGTCTGCATAGAAGTGCCTGGGCATAGGTGGGAGGGGATTGGAAATCATGGAGAATAAAAAAGATAGGCTTTTAATGGTTCTCACTCAGCCAGGTTTTGAGCCCTTTCACAAAGAGATTGTTGTGTCCACCAAAAGTCTCCAGTTTCCCCTCCATGAGGGTACATGATAGAATTGTACTTCCTGGACCTTCCCTGCCCCTAAGTGGGGTCATATGATAATTATGGCCAATAAGTTGTAAGTGAAAGTGCAATGTGTCACTTTCAGGTCAAGCATTTAATTGTCCTTGAAATAGTTTCCTTTCTCTCTGGCATAGGAAGCAGCAGAATTTGAGGTGAGAGCTAATCCACTCACTTTGGTCTCTGAGTGTCTCCCACAAGCAGAGCTCCTTTGTTAAGCCCTGAGAGGCACTTTGTGGGAGAAAAAACAAAACAAAACAAAACAAAGTTTTTTTGGTTTTAAGCCACTGAGATTTGTGGGTAGCATAACTTAGCCAGACCTAGTTGATATATGAGAGAAGGGCTAGCGTTAAGTACTGAAAGTGTTTGTTTATATTAGGTTTTCTATGTGTCTGGGCCAAGCATCTGCTGCAGGGGACAGGTAACCAAGAACAACTTAGTTAAGAGGAGAAGTTGCCCAAACCTCCTCCATTGCCCCAAAGTTCACAGTACTGCTCTGGGACCTTTCAGCACAAGAGCGGCTTCCTGAAGAGCACTCGTGTGTCCAAAGGAGAAGGTAGTAGAATGCCTAGCACTTGAGAAGCAATGCTCTTGAGTTTTCATGAAGGGCAACTACTAAATGTACATTCTTTGTGTATCAGTCTGTTTTAATGCTGCCAATAAAGACATATCTGAGACTGGGAAGAAAATGAGGTTTAATTGGACTTACAGGTCCACATGGCTGCAGAGGCCTCAGAATCATGGCAGGAGGTGAAAGGCACTTCTTACTTCATGGCGGCAAGAGAAAATAATGAAGAAGCCAAAGTGGAAACCCCTGATAAACCCATCAGATCTCGTGAGACTTATTCACTATTATGAGAATAGCACGGGAAAGATCAGCCCCCATGATTCAATTACCTGCCCCTGGGTCCCTCCCACAACATGTGGGAATTCTGGGAGATACAATTCAAATTGAGATTTGGGTGGGGACGCAGCCAAACTATATCATTCCGCCCTGGCCCCTCCAAATCTCATGTCCCCACATTTCAAAACCAATCATGCCTTCCCAACAGTCCTGCAAAGTCTTAACTCATTTCAGCATTAACCCAAAAGTCCAGAGTGCAAAGTTTCATCTGAGACAAGGCAAGTCCCTTCTGCCTATGAGCCTATAAAATCAAAAGCAAGCTTGTTAATTCCTAGTTACGATGGGGTATGTGTATTGGGTAAATGTAGCTGTTTCCATGGGAGAAATTCTCCAAAATAAAGGGGTTACAGGGCCCGTGCAAGTCTGAAATCCAGCAGGGCAGTCAAATTTTAAAGCTCCAAAATGATCTCATTTGACTCCAGGTCTCACATCCAGGTCACGCTGATGCAAGAGGTGGGTTCCCATGGTCTTGGAAAGCTCCACCCCTGTGGCTTTGCCTGCCTCCTGGCTGCTTTCCCAGGCTGGCATTGAGTGTCTGTGGCTTTTCAGGTGCACAGTGCAAGCTGTTGGTGGATCTACCATTCTGGGAGGATGGTGGCCCTCTTTCTTCTCACAGCTCCACCAGGCAGTGACCCAGTAGGGACTCTGTGTGGGGTCTCCAACCCCACATTTCCCTTCTGCACTGCCCTAGCAGAGGTTCTCCTTAAGGGCCCTACCCCTCCAATAAACTTTTATCTGGGCATCCAGGCATTTCCATACATCTTCTGAAATCTAAGCAGAGGTTCCCAAACCTCAATTCTTGACTTCTGTGCCCCCACAGCCTCAACACCACATGGAAGCTGCCAAGGCTTGGGGCTTCCACCCTCTGAAGCCACAGCCCCTACAGCCCAAGCTGTACATTGGCCCCTTTCAGCAATGGCTGGAGCAGGTGGGACACAGAGCAACAAGTCCCTAGGCTGCACAGAGCGCGGGGACCCTGGACCCGGCCCATAAGACCACTTTTTCCTCCAGGGCCTCCGGGCCTGTGATGGGAAGGGCTGCTGTGAAGATCTCTGACATGGCCTGGAGACATTTTCCCCATGGTCTTGGGGATTAACATTAGGCTCCTTGCTACTTATGCAAATTACTGCAACCAGCTTGAATTTCTCCCCAGAAAATGAGTTTTTCTTTTCTATCCACATAATCAGGCTGCAAAATTTCCAAACTTTTATGCTGTGCTTCCCTTATAAACTGAATGCCTTTAACAGTACCCAAGTCACCTCTTGAATGGTTTGCTGCTTAGAAATTTCTTCAGCCAGATGCCCTAAATCATCTTTCTCAAGTTCAAAATTCCATGGATCTCTAGGGCAGGGGCAAAATACCACCAGTCTCTTTGCTAAAACATAACAAGAGTCACTTTTGCTCCAGTTCCCAGCAAATTCCTCATCTCCATCTGAGACCACCTTAGCCTGGACCTTATTGTCCATATCACTATCAGCATTTTGGGCAAAGCCATTCAACAAGTCTCTAGGAAGTTCCAAAATTTCCCACATTTTTCTCTCTTCTTCTGAGCTCTCCAATCTGGTCCAACCTCTACCTCTTACCCAAGTTCCAAAGTTGCTTCCACATTTTTGGGTATCTTTTAAGCAATGCCCCACTCTACTGTTACCAGTTTACTGTATTAGTCTGTATTCATGCTGCTGATAAAGACATACCCAAGATGGGGAAGAAATAGAGGACTAACTTTAACTGAACTTACAATTCCACATGGCTGGGGAGGTCTCAGAATCATGGTGGTAGGTGAAAGGCACTTCTTACATGGTGGTGACAAGAGAAAATAAGGAAGAAGCAAAGGTGGAAACCCCTGATAAATCCATCGGATCTCTGAGACTTATTCACTATCATGAGAATAGCATGGGAAAGACCGGCCACCATGATTCAAGTACCTCCCCGTGAGTCCCTCGTACAACACGTAGGAATTCTGGGAGATAAAATTCAAGTTGAGATTTGGGTGGGGACACAGCCATCTCATTTCATTCAGTGACTCCTGAAAAAAATCCAGGGGAAAAGTTAAGTTCCTCAATGGTTAAGAGCTATCATAGTTTGAACATTTATGTTAATGTGACCATATTTGAACTCATGATAGATGATGCTTAGAAGAACTGAAGAATTGAATTATTATTATTTACCCTTGAAAAAATTAGGAACTTACTTAGAAAAGAAGATCTTATGAATCAGGTACTTATCATTCTCTCCTTGGTGAGAGCATAATGATTTAATGTACAAGGAAAACTAAGAAGAATATACAAAAAGTGGAAATGAGGCAACTAGCAAATTCCTGACTCCCATGGTCTCTTCATTTCATTTATTTCCCTTGAGAGCTCGTTGATCTAAAACCTAGGAGCAGTCCGTTTTCATTATTGACCCACAACACTCAACAGCCCCGAAAACCAACCTCGGTTATTTCGTTCTGGCCATTAGACTTCTAAATGTCTGTGGGTTATTCCAGATCATAAAGAGAGCAGGGAAGAGGATAGAATCCTACTAATGAAGTGATATTTATAGGTTTTATTTTTAATACAAGAGGCTAATTATCCACAGAGAAGATACATCTCCGATCTACCAGAATGCCAGGCTATATTTAGTTACACCAGATGACAGGGCAGAAAAAGTTATTTGGGGATGTAATCAAACTACATTTAAATATTTTAAAAGTATAAATACCTTCATCCCTTATTACCTATATTTATACCTGCCCTCTCATTATAAATTATGCACAACTGTGAAACACCCTTCCTGAATCTCATGGCTGATTATATTCCCAGGTTATGTATTTAAGCTATTGGCCACTAGATAATTTATATTCTTTTACTTCTTGTTGAATTTACATAAAATATTTGTCTTTACCAGGCTGACACATTAAATGACAAGCAAGTAATCCTAGACTGATTCTTGAGCTTCTTAACTCTTCTATGTCTAATGCCATATTAATAATTAGAATTAGAGAAACTGAGTGAACTGCAGACACCTAGAGACGTTTCCACATGTTCTCTGTTCGCACAGCAAGGTAGAAATTTGGGAACTGATAAGTTGAGTCCACATGAAAATGCAATTCCATTATTAATATTTCAGTCTTTGGTCCTTATGCAACAAGCAGTTTCATGTACATGAATCCAAGCATCTGGACAGAAAAAAAAGGAAAAGAATAGACCTAATATCTATGTGCTTGATCCACATGAGGCCGAATAATTGGCAAGACTCTAAAATTCTTTCTTATCATAGGCAGAGCAAATAACATCCATCCCTTGTGGGCCCTTTTCTGTATTCTACTGAAGAGAAATATTATGAAATGAGGAAGGAACTAACATCCGAGAGCTTAATGGATTCTAGGTATATTCAGTTCTTTATTTGTATCATCTAACTTAATATTCACAATAAACTTCAATGATGCAGACGTTATCCTTCCTACTTCATAAATTAACAAACAGAAACACAAAGAGGTTGCAGGCAGTCACACAAATAGTTTTATAGAGCCAGACTCCAAACCCCAAGTAGGTTAATTCCCAAGTCTGTTTTCCCCTTTACACCCCAGAGGTGCTCTTGAAGGGGAGTTGGGGTCCGGATGTCACTGCCTGTAGTTTCCAACTCCTTTAGAATCAGTTACACCTCCTAGAATCATTCATCATTTGTTTTATTTTCTTCTATCTTCTGTACCTTTCTTTCTTTCTTTTTTTCTTTTTTTTTTTTTTTTTGATACAGAGTCTCGTTCTGTCACCCAGGCTGGAGTGCAGTGGCACAATCTCGGCTCACCGCAATCTCTGCCTCCTGGGTTCACGCCATTCTCCTGCCTCAGCCTCCCGAGTAGCTGGGACTACAGGCGCCCTCCACCACACCCGGCTAATTTTTTGTATTTTTAGTAGAGACGGGGTTTTACCGTGTTAGTCAGGATGGTCTCGATCTCCTGACCTCGTGATCTGCCCTCCTCGGCCTCCCAAAGTGCTGGGATTACAGGCGTGAGCCACCGTGCCCGGCCCATTCTTCTGTACCTTTCGTAAAGATGTGATTTTTTTTTTTTTAATTCCCATTTTTTTCCTCATGCTTCTAAATATATCTAAAATTTCCCTGAGATTTTTCTAATACATATGATTTCCTTGGTTGTCACTGAGGAAAATGGAGATGTCTGCAAAATGTTAACCAAGGGCAGTAGCTTCAGGATCACATAAGACCTGGGTTCAAATTCTGATGGTTTCTATAACTACCTGAGCCTAAAGTTACTTTTTCAAGCTTCAATTATTTCATGTATAAAACCGGAGAAGCAATATGTACCTCTAAACATCATGAGGATAAAATCTGATCAGGCTGGCAAAATGCACATTCTCTCTAGAAGAACAATAACAATCAGTCCCCTTCTCTAATATGTGAGATGATATAATACATCCAGTCTAGGACACTGTGTCTATTTTCATGGGTCTGTCAGAATGTCTTCCTTGTAAGACTCTTTTGTGCTATTCTCTTTGTTCTGTGGCTGTTTTCTAGTCTAATTTTAGCATTCCTCGTATGTGAAGTGTTTGTATTTTTGAGATGTTTGTATTCAGAATGCTGATTAAAATAAGTATACAAAATCAGTGTTCTAGAAAAATAAAACACATTATCTGGAATGTATAAAAAGTAATTTACATATTTCTGTAGTTAATTAAGTTTTCTTTTCCTCATATCGTTCCTAACTGATCAACCTCTACTAGCATGATAACTTTGTTATTAATGACTATCTTTTAATCCCACCTTAATTTCAACATTATGGATGTTTCCCTTTCACTCAATCACAAGTTCAAGGTTTTCTTTTTGCCCCTTGTTTCAATAATTCCATTTAATCGTGTATAGCCACATACCATGTGGTTCGAATCTTGCGCTTACATCATTTATGCATTGTGCTGACAAGAAATAAACAACTAAAGTACCTACACCTCATTTTCTTCTAAGCATAGTGAAGGGAAGTGTGTTAAACTGAGCTGTGCAAAATAACAGAGGTTTGTACATTCCTCATATTCAAGGTTTTGCTTTGCCTTCTCAAAATGCAAGATTATCATCTACCCCATTCAAATTATATTAAATGAAGAATGATTCAAATAGTGCCAGCTGCCAATTTAAATTTCAAATGGAAACCTGCTCATTTGCTGACTCTTCATTCACTCCTCTTCCTTCCCCTACCTTTTTCCTACTTCGCTTTCCAATTTATTTTAAAGCTACTTCTTAGGTATTTCTCAGGGGACATCCAACTCAAAGTGAGTAGGGCCTTTGAGTCAAAAACTGCTTCCATATTTTTCCCTGTGTAAAAACAAAAACTAGTTGCTTGCCACTGATCACAGACGAACCTCAGATAAAACCAGATTGTGCTAAAAAATGAGTACCCCCTTTCCATAATTAAATTGCTCAGAAAAAGGCAAATGTCTTTTCTCTATTTTTTCCCAGCCTAAAATTTAAACACAATTGAAACTTGAAAGAAAACATACATGGATTCATGAAAATGGAATTATCATGAAGCTTTTGGAATTGTATCTTTACTGTCTGTTTAGTCTAAATACTGTACACCTGGTGGTGATCACAATGAACTGTCAATTTCTGAATAGTTAAGGTATGATCCTGTGAATGAGAAGGCAGCCCTACTAATTCTGTTTTCTCTTAGGACTTGAAGAGCAGCATGCATTGTGTGTGTTATAGATGACCTTGAAAAGACGTTGGGGTTAGTTTTGATGCAGTCAGTTGAGACACAAATTGAACTTTAGGAAGGAGAGATAATGCAATCCTCAAATGAACTGCAACCCTGTACTCTCCATTTATCTCTGACATTTATTCTTTAATATAAACTTTTTAATTTTTTTTCTCTTGAGATGGAGTTTCGCTCTTGTTGCCCAGGCTGGAGTGCAATGGCACGATCTCGACTCACTGCAACCTCCGCCTCTCAGGTTCAAGCGATTCTCTTGACCCAGCTTCCCGATTAGCTGGGATTGTAGGTGTGCACCACCATGCCTGGCTATTTTTTGTATTTCTAGTAGAGACGGGGTTTCACCATGTTGACCAGGCTGGTCTCAAACTCCTGACCTCAGGTGATCCACCCTCCTCGGCCTCCCAAAGTGCTGGGATTACAGGCGTGAGCAACCATGCCCAGCCCCATAATATAAACTTTTTTATTTTTTTGTAAATTTAAGTATAACACAAAAATGGAAAAGTGAAGAAATATTAATTTTCCAGTAAGATGAATTTCGACGAGGTGACCACATCTATGTAACCAGAATCCAGAGCAAGAAACAGGGCATGTCTATAACCTTAGCATTCTCCTCCTCGTGCCCCCACCCCTGTCACTGTCATGCCCTTTAAGGGTGCCTGCCCTCCTGGCTTCCAGCACTGCACTTTAGCTCTGCTTATTATTGACCTTCATGCAGATGCAATCATAAGATGTGCAGCCTTCAGTGCCTGAGAGCCCTTATTCTCAGTATGGGTAAGAAAAAGAAGAATAAACAAATTGATTTTTTTTTCTGTCACTTACTGGGCAACACACCCCTTAGTTACAAGTCCAATTCTTATTCTTCTTCTCTAATAAACTTTTAAATTGTATGATTACTTTAGATTTACAGAAAAGATGTAAAAATAGTACAGTGATTTCTAGTATACCACCTTCTGATTTTTCCTAATGTTAACATTTTACATTACCATGACACATTTATCAAAACTAAGAACCAACACTGACCCATTACTTTAAACTTCAGGTGTTCCTCATATTTCACTAATTTTTCCATGAATGCTCCCCACCCCACCCCTTGGCCCATCCTGGGACTCCATCCTGGATACCACCTGGCACTTTCTTATCATGTTTACTTAGACTTGGCTGGCCTTCAGTGGTTTCGGGACCTTGACAGATTGAGGAATACTGGTTAGATACTTTGTAGACTGTCAATTTATGTTTGTCTGTCGTTTTTCTTATGATTAGACTGGAATTATAGGTTATGGGAGACTATCTCAAAGGGGAAGTTCACAGAATGACAAGGAGCCCATGATATCCACATAACATGCTGGAGATGTTAATCCTTATTGGTTTGGTTAAGGTAGTATTTACCTAGTTTCTCCACGATAAAAATACCCTTTCTCCCCCTTTCTTACTATATTCTTTGACAACGAGTCACTAAGTGCATGCCCCAGTCAATGTTAAGAAAGGAACACAGGAATTATATCGCATCTCCTGGGTACTGGAGGGGACAGAATCTACCTACGCTGTTGTTTGGAATCTTCCTTGTAAGCATGACTTGACACTTTTATTTTATGTATTTATTTATGAAGTCATTTCTTTACATCAGTATGGCCTCATGTATATTTATACTTCAGATTATAATCTAGAACTGTGTTATTTATTTTGCTGCTCTAGTTGTTCAAACATTGGTTGTTGAGAAATTCTGGTGCCCCTTTGCCATACTATTATCCTCACCTATTTACTTATTTATTGACTACTTCCTTACTTTTTGACACAGATATTCTTGTTAATGCTCCAACGTTATCTGGTAATGCTGACTGTCATTTAAAAAGTAGAATTGAGGCTTACAGTAGTTCAGCACCTTGCCCAAGATCACCCAGGGAGTAAACGGTAGAACTCATGTTTAGACCTAGAAACCCTGATGACCAAATCTTTAAGTTCTTGTCAATACATCACACGCCTCACAAGAAACTTAGGGATAACTAAGGTCCAGCACTCAAGCAAGGACAACCTCATCACTAAATATCAGATATTCAACTCTGAAACAGCTTTCTGGTCTTGGTTCCTCTGGACATAGGATGGAGACTCTTGGCTACCTAGATTTACATTAATCTTGAAAGTTAAAATTAACTTTAAAACAGGGAAAGCTCTGGGTTCTGTTGCCAGTTTGGTATTCTTGTGGGCATGGTGAGGTCATAGAAAACTAATCTTGACTTGCTTTTTGTTTCTCATTCTCTTTTATCCTCTTATGTATCTAGACTGTTGAGCTATGTAGCTCTTCAAGTAGAGTTCTATGATCAAACCACCTAAGCCTCTACCTATTTCTGTCTCCATTACAATTTTCAGCCAAGAGAAGGGGTTAATTTTTAGAAGGTGACTTCACAGAGACTCTGGTCCTTCAGTTACACATTTAAACAGGCATTGTTTTTAGCTGGCCAAAACACTGGACCTAAAGTCAAATTGGTTGAACTGCCATGTTAGAAATAGTCACAAGAGAATCTATCACTTGCACATAGGAAACAGCCATTTATGGTTATGAGTCAACACAACTTTCCTAAAAGGAACATGCAAAATGCTCCTATTGGGGTAAGTATACAAAATATGTACAGTAAGCATATAATGCTATACAGCTAAATAACATGGAAGTTAGGGGAACCAGCCCTTCCTGCACAGTCAAAAATCTGAGTACAACTTTTAACTTCCTAAAAACTTAAATATTAATAGCATACTGTTGACCAAAAGCCTTACCAGTAACATCAACAGTTGACTAACACATATTTTGTATGTTATATATATATTATATACTATATTATTACAATAAAGTAAGCAAGGGAAAAGAAAATGTTAAAATCATAAGGAAGAAAAAATAGACTTACAGTACAGTACTGTATTTATTGATACCATAAGTTGACATTGTTTACAAAATGAATTGTCTGTCTGAAATGGTGGCAACTCCATCTGCAGACCTCAATCTACAGTCCATACCAAGAAATTCAACTCTTTCTTGTAATGTCATGACATTTCTCTGCTTCTTGGGAGCACTTCCAGCATCACTAGTGGCACTTTGCATGGGTCTCATGGTGTTATTCAAGCTTTACTGTATTGCACTAAATACAGTGAAAATTAAGTGAGAATCGTGAGAGATCGCTTTTTACTGTACTAGGCAATTTACTGGAGAGACAAACTGCTCAGGAGGAGGTGATTAGCATCACACAGAGTTTTAAGTGGACAGTAGGAACACTTGAACTCACCATAATAGCAACTGGAGGTGGCTACAAAATTACTATAGTAGTACAGTTACATACTACTTAATTGTATGCAGTTATGATTTAGTATTACATCTTCCTGTTTGTTTACATTTCTCTCTACTGTTAATGGTTCCATGCATGGTCTGTAAGTGTGTGTCCATGAGTTTTGATAATTTTTAACTTGTTATAATAGATTCGTGTATATTTTATGGTAATTAGTAAATGATAAAATAGACTAGTATCTACATACATTTTATGCATTCATGACATACCTAACTTCTTCCTATTTTTTGATATTTCTAGGCTATGTGGTTCATCAGTGAGTTTTTTCAAATTGTCACAAATCTCTAAACATTTAAAAATATATTTATTGAAAAAAAATCTGCGTATAGGTGGGCCCACATAGTTCAAAACTCTGTTGTTCAAGGGTCAACTGTGCTTATGAATTGAGAACGGTGCACTATACTTAGATTAAGTCAGGGACAAAAGACTCAGCACATTGAGAGCACTAGCCTTTTTTTTTTTTTCCCCAGAGATGACGTTTCACTCTTGTTGCCCAGGCTGGAGTGCAATGGCACAATCTCGGCTCACTGAAACCTCCACCTCCCAGGTTCAAGCGATTCTCCTGCCTCAGCCTCCCAAATGGCTGGGATTACAGATGCCTGCCACCATGCCAGGCTAATTTTTTTTTTTTTTAATTTTTAGTAGAGGTGGGGTTTCACCATGTTGGCTAGGTTGGTCTCAAACTCTCCACCTCAGCCTCCCAAAGTGCTGGGATTGCAGGCGTGAGCCACTGCACCTGGCCTGAGAGTGCTAGTCTTCATCATGCCATAGCAGTTCACTTAGAATTCTGGAAAAAGGTCTCCTTATCCAAGAGAGGAAAGCTCTACATTTTAACGGTTCCATCCCATTTCTACTGAACTTTTAAATACCTGAATATACCGTAAAGAATAAGTTTAAAAAATTTCAAGTCATGACCCTGAAAGTAAAAGACGAATGGTATACAAAATAATCTGACAGCATCACAGGATTAAAACAAAAGTATTAATGACTGCCATACAATTCTAGATTATTAATAGTGATATGTGCCTCACGCAATGTACTGAGAGCTTACACTATCATTCCTTGACATATTATTAATCCATTTCATCATTCTGAGGTTAAATAATGTTTAATAACGCGAATGAAAAAATAATGTAAAACTGTATTTTTGACACAGAACTGAGAATGCGTTTATAAATATAACCCAGGAAAGCACTGATTGTTCTGTAGGAGCAACTCTAAAATGGATGCATCTCATTTCTCAACCAATGGCATAGAATTGCTGGAACAATAAGGTAGTACTTGAAATCATAATTTTTGCTCAAGTATTGATTAGTAGAAAAATAGATTATCCTATTATTGACAAAGACACACTTTGCCTGTTAATTTGGGTACAAAACTTTCCCAAATCATTTTGATGAGCTTCTCAAAGTCTGAATTCCCTTGCCAGAACGTCACCCCCAAAATGTCTCTGCCACTCACTGATCTCCCTTGTCTTCTCAGGCTAAAATTATTTTTGGATCAATGGAAAATATAAACAAGCAAAAACAATGGAACGGAACACCCTCGCTTTCTCTGAATCTCTAAGTTCTGTGAAATCTGTGGGAGAGTGACTTTGCCTATGAATTTTGGCTCCATTTTCATTTGAGACAAATGTCGGTGGTTCTCTTTCATGGCTGTGTGATTGAAACAATGAGTTCTCTAAGCATCATGGCTTATCGAAGATGTATGGTTTGCTGGAGGCTCAGAGACTGGACCAAAAGTCACATCTAGACAAAAACTGTAATTACCAGTCATGGACAAGTCAGACAAAGCCCCAGGTGGAAATGCTATCCTCTAGTCATAGCTCTTTTGGGAAAATCCAAAAGTAAAACATAATATGAACTTGTTGTGGCTATCAGGTAAAAAAAAGTCATGCTCAAAGACAGAAATGCAGCAATAGTTTCAGAGCATTGGATACATTAAAAAATTATCAAATGTTTGAAAGCACACTTTGTCTGCAGGACACCAGACTGAGCAACCTTAGGATGAAAATAACCCATAAAAGAGGTATTGTATTTGCTCTCTACTTACTGGGAAGATGAAATATACCCACTTGAAGCACTAGAGAGTAATTACAAAACAATTCATGCAACATTACATAGTGTGGTCATAATAAATTGGCACCAAGGGGAGGGAGAATGAGGGGGTCAACATGGTATAAGAAATGGATAGAGGAAGTCTCCGCATGCATCAAGGGTATTTTAGGGGATATCTTGTTAATTTGCTGATATAATTCTAATTTGCCGATGGCCAAAGTAGGCGCTTTGAGCCTAAACAATATTTAGGACATTATAGCATTCTATTAAGACTAACTATGACATCTTCTAGTTTTGGCAGAGGAATTTTCTGTTTTAAACACTGCTGTATCCCCAGTAACCAGAACACTGTCTGATACACAGTGGGCAATTGATTAATATCTGTTTTTTAGGTGAACATTTTAAAAACAGCCATAAAAAAGGATGAGTTCATGTCCTTTGCAGAGACATGGATGTAACTGGAAACCATCATTCTCAGCAAACTAACACGAGAACAGAAAACCAAACACCACATGTCCTCACTCATAAGTGGGAGTTGAACAATGAGAACACATGGACACAGGGAGGGGAACATCACGCACTGGGGCTTGTCTGGGGGTGGGGGACTAGAGGAGGGATAGCATTAGGAGAAATACCTAATGTAGATGACAGGTTGATGGGTGCAGTGAACCACCATGGCACGTGTGTACCTATGTGACAAGGCTTCACGTTCTGCACATGTATCCCAGAACTTAAAGTATAATTTTAAAAAATCAAATAACATAAAAAAATTAAGGGAATCTGTCAAAAGGATATGGGAACTGCCTTGGAGGGGCTTCTACTGATAAAACTGGGAAAATATGAGCATCAAATAAACAACGATATTAATAGAAACACACACACACACACACACACACACACACACACACACACAATAATACAGTTGCCTTGGTGGTCCACAAGACCAAGCCCAAGTTTGATAGTCCTGTTCATGGCTATGAGTTATTACAGTGAAAGGATGAAAAGCAAAATCAGCAAGGGGAGAAGTCACATGGAATGAAGTCCAAAGAAAATAGGTACAAGCTTCTAAGAATCCTCTCCCAGTGGGATCGCATATGACACACTTAATTGTTCCAGAAATATTTCTGACATGAATACAATATTGTCTACTAGGGAAGCTCATTAGAGCTGAGAGCTCAGGTGTTTTATTGGTGGCTGGTCACATAGGCACCCCTGCCACCCAACTTTGACTACCAAAATTCTAGATACCTAGAGGAAAGTAGGTATTCAGCCTAAACAATATTGTTTGTGTAAACAGTTTAGGTGCAATGAGGCATTCTTATCAGAGAAAAATGGGGACTATCTCAAAATACATGTTCCCAGATGGCAGCCAAGGGCCAACCTTGCAAGCAGGCTTGAAGATATCCGACTCAGGCCTGCTGTGTTAACTATTTTTTGTAGAATAGTTCTACTTATTTCCCTCTTAGGAATATCTGACTTTTTCTAGAGATGAAAAATCCTAGAAAGATATTTGGAGGTTTCTTAGCTAATTCGATTGTGTGTATCTTTCCAAAGTGGGTATACTTCAGAGGGGTGCCTTATGTATAACATAAAATGAGTCATTTTACCACCTGCATTATCAGCCATTATGAACCTTTGTGTTACTTGCTAATATTCATCAAGTTCAAATGGTGCTCCATGCGTTATATTCCCACACCGATGCACTATCTTAAAGATTTTCTGTTTATTTATTCATAATATTAATAATAATAGATTTTATTTCATAGGCTATGATAAAAAACATATAAGCCAAAGATAAATCTCAATTCGCAATACAGGTTAAAATTTTCTAAAATTCCAAGGAAACAGGCTATGTCAATTTAAAATTGTCAATTTCTTTTGCCAACATTCGTGTCTCATAAAGAAATGAAAACAGGCATAACAACTTGAAGACGTGGTTGGGTGCCATCAAATGCTAGAAGAAAAGTGCGAAGGCTGATTCAGTGATACAACTATTTAGAATATACAGATATATAGCATTTTATCAGAGAAATTGTTTCCTAACATTCTAAATCATAGTCATAATGCTAAACGTGTTTGCATTTTCCATTAAATATGCCCACCTCCTATGTATATTGGAATGGAGTAGCAAGTTTCTGATGTTTTCTTCCACTTAAATACTCACTGTCCTTTTTGTTCCCTGTTAACTATGTTCATGAGTCATTAACACAAGCCACAGTGTCTATTCAGCAATCTACAGTCACCTACCTCTCCCCAATAAAGGTGGATGGCTGTCATGTTTAAGAAGGTTGAAGACTTCTTACATAAGATTTTTTTTTTCCAGAGAAAACTTATTTTCAAACCAACTTTTACGTGAAAGCCCAAGCGAAAAGTGAAAAAGAGAGCTTCAGAAGAGCGACAAATTGGGAAAACTCAACACTACGCTTACTTCCTCTCTTCATTTTCCACACCCAGCAGCTCCTGAGTGAGACAGGCAGATTTCTAGAAATTAATCAAAGCACTATTTCCTCTACTCATTCCAGCATTCATTTGTTTATTAATATGCAAATAAGTTAATTTGATCAAGTCTACAGCGCTAGTTCAGTGGGCAAAGCAGATGAAAGTTGACCTGACTCCAAAGCCTATGCCTGAAACAAAACATGGCAATATTGAGCTTCTCCACTGTTTCTCAGGTGATCTGTATTTGATCCTGGCTTCTCTATTCAGAAATGGAGAAATTAAGTCCCAGAAAGGGTAGGTCACATGTACAAGCCTTCTTTGCTGTTTGGTATGACCTAACATTTGAATTTATTTCTTTACTCCCAGAATATGGAATTGGCTACTATATTTTATACCAGAATAGTGGTTTTATGTCTCTTAGTGTTACACTTCATTCTTCTTAAATATATACTTTCTCCCCTTCTTTTTTTTCTTATATTCTATAGTCACACTTTTGTCTTTTGCCTGTAAATCTCAATCACCAACATCATTATGTGAGAATTGTCAGGCCTCTGAGCCCAAGCCAAGCCATCGCATCCCCTGTGACCTGCACGTATTCGCCCAGATGGCCTGAAGTAACTGAAGAATCACAAAAGAAGTGAATACGCCCTGCCCCACCTTAACTGATGACATTCCACCACAAAAGAAGTATAAATGGCCGGTCCTTGCCTTAACTGATGACAGTACCTTGTGAAAGTTCTTTTCCTGGCTCATCCTGGCTCAAAAAGCACCCCCACTGAGCACCTTGCGAACCCCCACTCCTGCCCGCCAGAGAACAAACCCCCTTTGACTGTAATTTTCCTTTACCTACCCAAATCCTATAAAACGGCCCCACCTTTATCTCCCTTTGCGGACTCTCTTTTCGGACTCAGCCCGCCTGCACCCAGGTGAAATACACAGCCATGTTGCTCACACAAAGCCTGTTTGGTGGCCTCTTCACACGGACGCGCATGAAAAGAATCAGTAAGTCCTTTGTGCAGTATAAATTAATACTCATAATATGATATAAAGGGAAAAAGAGCCTCATCTTATCTGTACTCTTGTCTGATAAATATATGTTACAGTAAATTACCTAATTAAACAAGCATAACATGAAAATTAGATGTTTGTTTCTATACATCTTAGAAGAAGTAACCATTTTCCTTTTTGTGCTATTTATTATTCTTTCAATTTGCAAAAGCTGAGTAATCAGGAATTCCACACCATGGCTTTAATGGCAAGCATATCCACTAAGTGCTGATGCGGGATATTCTGTTGCTGAGCTTTTTAAAGTGACAACTTTTTCTCTTCCTTTTCTTGCAGTAATTAAGGTGGCCTTATATAATCATACCTCACACTTATTAGCACAATATTCTTCTCTAATATGTACTGTTTCCTTTAGTAGTCCAATTACTTGACAAAGGACAAAGATGCTGACAATAATAACAGCCATAACACTAGCTAAAGTTGGTTGTCTGCACACCATGTGCTAAACATCATTGTAAGCACTTGAGATGTGTTGTTTTATTTCATAATGTCAAGAACATTAATTTAACATTTCTGAATGGATCAAAGACAAACTAATCCGACTCACTGGAATTTATTCTTCTCTGGTGCTCTGTGTCACAAGGAATTGGGACTGCACACTCATGTGTTGTATATCACACTGCCTTGGGTCATTATTTAACTTCCCATCTCCATCCCTTTGTGTACCATATTATTAATCAATGTATTTATTTATCAGAAGGCTGAAACTTGGTGATTTCTTTTTCTGTCGTCTCTCTTTCCATACCTCACGTACTTCAGGCTCTGCAAATAGTATCTTCTAAATCAGGGCTTGTCACACTCTAAGGTGCATGTGAATCCCTGGGGATCTTGTTAAAATGCAGATTCTGAATTAGCAGGCCTGGGGTGTATCTTGACGCCATGCTACTGGCTCAGAAACCGCATTCTGAGAAGTGAACTCCTCCACAGTTCTAGAATCAATCATTTATTCTCCATTCCTGATCACTTTCTTGATTATGAGAGAGGGACAGAGGGCCCCATCTGTGAATGAGTTCATGGGACTAAACTCCAACATGCCAGCGTTTTCTCATATTGCTCGGGAAATAGTTCTTGTTCTTTTTCTTTATCTTTCTTCCCTATTTAACCTTGCAAAGCTCTAGTCAGGCATAAAATATATTCCCCTGTTACTCTGGTAAGAGAGCATGTATTTGTTAAGTTTTTGCTTTTGTATAGAAGATCATAAATGTTTTTGGGTTTTTCAGAAAAACTATCCCAGTGATGGCGCTTAACCCAGATGTCTTAACGCCTTAACCCAGTAAACAGTATTTCCAGAATGTCTCTGATGGGCATTTAGACAAGAGCCTGGTGAAGTTCATCTTGTGGGCTGGCTTTTAGCAAATCTCAAACTGCAAGCTAATTTTCCAAAGATATAATGGTGAACCTTTTTAACCCTTGGAGTTGATATCATCATCCCATGGAACCTACTTCATCCACTTTATTATCCTCAGGAATGACCCCCACCTGAAAATGCTTTGCTTGCTAAACACAGTACATGAATTAATGGCAGCATGTGAGAGGATGCCGTTAAAAAAGATTGAAGGGACAGGTGTGGTGGAAAAATATTATAAAAAATGCTCAAGTGCTTTAATTGGTAAGTCAAGGAAATGCACACGAAAGTAAACTTTTTTTCTCTACCTAAAAGATCGGCCAAAATTAAAACAATCATATCCAGTATTACTACTTATAATACTATTGTATAAACAAGTTTAAGATAAATTTGGAAATATATGCATTAGAAATGTACATGTTCTCCTGGCCAACATGGTGAAACCCCGTCTCTACTAAAAATACAAAAAAAATTAGCCGGGCGTGGTGGTGGGCGCCTGTAGTCCCAGCTACTCGGGAGGCTGAGGCAGGAGAATCACTTGAACTCAGGAGGCAGAAGTTGCAGTGAGCTGAGATTGTGCCACTGCACTCCAGCCTGGTGACAGAGTGAGACTCCGTCTCAAGGAAAAAAAAAAAAATGTACATGTTCTTTTCCATGTGCAATAATTCAACTACTGAGAATTTATTCTAAAGAAATTACTAGGCTAGTGTGCAAGTATAATTTATATACATATATTTAGATAAACATAGGATGAGTATAAATGGCATTTCTCGATATTAAAAATTAAAAACAAAATATTAAAATGTAGGAAAATTGTTACATTAGATTGAACCATAAACAAGTATTTGATTATCTATGATCTAAAAAGTCATTTTTTATATAGTTCAATTTAATTATAGTACATGCAAAATAATAGAATATCAGCACATCATTAAAATGCACTCATATATGTATATATGAACATAGAAAACACATATGGAGGGCTTTCTACCTTGAGGGTACTTCAAAGAATTTTCTTCTGATGATGACATGATAATATGTGTTATTAGAAAAGTCATTTCCAGTTATTGTATTGGAATTCAGTAATTACTTTTTCAATAAGAAAAGTGAAAACTATTAAAAGCAAAAATGTGAAATAAATTAGCTTTGTATCCTATACTCAATTAAACTATTATAGCAAGAAGGTAATGAATTTAGATAATTTGAGGATAGGAATAAGGCTTTACAAAGCAGAGATTTAACACTCTTCTAAAATCCATTAAAATACACTAAAAGAAGATCACAGCAAAGCGGGTAGCCCCCAGACACTTCAGAGGAATTGTGGTGTGCATGCTAAGTAGGCAGAAAGAGAGGTTTTGGTCTCAGAAGTCTTAGAGGCACATACACACATTGGCTCAAGGCACGTAAAGGGTGGCATGGTGACGGTGTGCTGAACAGCAAAGCTGAGTTTTCCATCAGCTTCATTGCTTTAGAGAGCAGCAAGACAGGTCTGTTCTTTAGCCATGTGTTCTCTCAAGGAATCCAAATAATATTCAAGCAGTCATTGGTTTATTAGCATTTAACTTATTATAAAAGGTATACTTAAAAATGATAAACTGTTCTTACCTCCCTGCTCAAAATTCTCCAGGGCTTTCCAATGCATTTGGAAGTAAAATGAGTTTCCCAACCAGGGATTAGGAAGCTCTATGGCTTCCACGTTTTGCCTGTCTCTCCAGGGTCACACTCCAAGGTTCACACTGGCTTTCTCTCCGTTTCTAAAACAGGCTAAACTCATTCCTGCCCCCATGGTTTTGCACTTGATGTTCTCTCTGCCAGGAATGCTCTTTCTTCTGATATTTGCAAGGCTGGAAACTTGTCATTTAACCTGGGCTCAGATGTTACCTCTTCAGAGTTCTCCAACCACCAGCCAAATAAAATAATCCCCTACCCTACCCCAGTCATTTTCTATGACATCACTGTTTCTTAAGTTTTCTTCCCAATGCGTATCAGCATCTGACACTCCTTTTTGTCTGTCTCCTGTGGTTCAAATGTGAACCCCATGAGAGAGAGGAGGATGTATCCCCAGTTCCTAAAACCGTGTCTGGCACAGAGAGGCTCAATATGCTGCGGAATAAGCACCGTGGACACCAGGGGAGGGGTCGGGATTGTTCCAATTGTGTGATTAGAATGGTTGAGGGCAGCAGCTATACAATGATGGAGAGCCCATGGATTCCCAATTTTCCAGAGGCCCAGCCAGCGCTGGCCCAGGTGGCTTTTTTGACCAGAACACCACACTGCTTTGGTTGTTTTGCTTATTTGCTTTACTTCACTTTGATATGAACTAAATTACCAGTAACCAGATCAGTGCTCAATACTGGTTTATATTACTTTTAATACGATTAAAACACCTGGAGGTTCTGGATGAGCTCCTAATGAGACATTTTTCTACCTGATAATTTCTGTATTTTTTACATATTCACAATGACTTTTTAAAGTAAAATTTTACTTTAGAGAATCTGGATCGTAGAATTGTGGATATCTGTGCTTCATTTTCTACACACGATGTTACACTTCAGTATTGCTGTAATTCTTTTCAAAATACACCATGGCTCCATTTCAAAATGCCTCACCATCTGGGCAGACACCTTTCTCTCGCTTCTCGAAAATCACTGAGGCAGAGCAATGTTTCTCCATCCATTATTCTCCTACCCTGGAGGGTGCAAAGATGTGTTTTTAGGAGTCCTTGAGAATATGTGTCCTTCTAAAGAAGTAAGTTGCACCAAACACAAATCATTAAGGTAAATAGTTAAAGGAAGGCTTATATTTAAAACACTAATGTTTCTAGAACAAAAATTCTATCAGTCATTCACACTATAGAATAATTTAGCTTAATCAGTTGATTTCTTCCCTAATACACAGCTGAGAGACTCTGCTCTATGAGAATCTAAGTTTTGCTAGAAAGAAGAAGAAAAATATTACTTTTATCTGATTAAGCTGCTGCTCTTGTTCTCCAAATAGGAGTATCTGGGCACGAGGTATTGGCATAAGAAGGCCAGAGATAGGTGAAAATGAAAACGGGGCTGTGTGTGCTGAAACAAGCCATTTTTAAATCTTACTTCTTGGTCTGGAGGTCAGGAAAAGAAAATGTGATTACCTTCTTCCACATTTCCATTGCTGCCAGAATACAGATTTTATGTTACTCCTCTTAGTTGTTTATTTAACCTCTTTATAGTTCAAGGCAACTTTTACAGGTTAACGTGGAATAACTAGACCCCAAAACTAATTAATAAAATACAATAAATTCTGAATTTAAAATCTATTGTACAAAGTCTTCAGCTCCCCCTTAGACTGTCTGTTTCCAGGGTGGGGCTACATTATATTCATTGTTAAACTCCCAGGGCCCCTCTACATTGCCTCTACAGTAAATCTTCAGTGAAACTCCTGAGCATAGGAGTTGAGATTTGGGGACACAAATGCTTCTCATTTGAGGCCTGTGTTTTAGATTTCCTAATTTAACGAGCTGTTCACTGTTTGTGTCTTTTTGCACTTCACATGGCTCAAAGACAGTATCTAACTTTTCATTCTCAGGATACTATCTTCTTGCCTGCATAAACCAGGTTCTTTCCACTCTGGAAAACAAAGGGTCCAGTTAGGTGTCAGCCTCCCAGCAGGAGACAGCAGAATTGGTCACAGGCAGAGCTGCCAGAAACAGCTTATGTGACAGCAGGCAGAGGGACACCTAAGACAGTAAGACATAGAAACAGCCACTTCTCACCTTAGACCGGGCAGCAGTGTGAGAAGGAAAATTTCAAGAAAAAAAAAAAATCCAGCAAAGCATGCCCTATTCTCATCGCCTCTGCCAAATAAACAGTGTGATCTCTATTTTTATTAAAATTATGAAACACACAGTTCTCAAAAATAGAACAGGAGGAGGGATGAGGTGTGGGTAAACAGTTCAGCCGTGCACATCCTTCAACCATCCGGTGACCAGAAAGGACTCCAACCCCACTTTCCCTAGAGAGCCAACAAGTTATTACAGCTGCAAGGTGACTGGATGCAAGGCAAAATAAATGGAGCAAAATACAACACCCAGAATGGGGAAGACTTGAAAAACGTTTAGTTAAGAGAATAAGAATTGCAGGCCTCTCAGTGTCTTATGCATACTGTGAGGGCAGAGAAGAGTAATGTGAATATCTTCCTTTTACAGCTCAGTCTAATTTGGCATGCCATTATAATTTCTAGCTCAGTTAGCAAATGACTGGAAACACTGCTTTCTGCAATTTTCTCTAAAATATGACAGTTCTATAAGTTGTTCTATTGATGTACTTGAAACCAACCCAAGATGGGAGCAACTATATTCTTAATTTTTATTACCAGGAAACTGTGATAGGTGCCTGTGTGGAGTTCCCTGAGTGACAAACTGCATATTATGGTTATGGATATTGGGGGGAAAAGACTTGACCAATTTCAGGAACAAAGAAACCTAGAATTCCAGCATTAGAGATTAGCCCGTTTGGATCAACCATGTGCTCTCTGGAATAATATTTTTTATAGGAACATATTTGAGAAGGTTTTATGTAATAGGCAGTCGCCAGTGACATCTTCACATCAGACAGGGGCATGCATACCTTGAAGTCACTGAATGGGGAGAAAGAACAGAAGGCAGGTTTTTAAACCTACCTCTTTTTAAAGAGGTAAAAGTAGAAAATATTTTTAAGTGCCTTCAGTTCTAAAGGAAGGCATTGAGGACAGATGCTGTTGTTTCTTACAAATAGGGTGACCTTGAGTAAGTTACATAACTTGTTTGAACTCTGAACTTTATCTATAAAGTGAGTGATAGCTGAGGGAGTCAAAAATGAATGGGAAGAAAGCCAAAATAGTGTTATTTGATCAGGTTAGTCGACACTACAGGAGGTTCTTGATCCCAATGGGACTTCTGTGAACCTGCATATACTATATTTCAGATTTTTCACATCAGGTCCCAACCCCCACTGCTCAAGGATAGCCTCACAGGCATTAACTCCCTTGTGCTTCTGGTTTTGGTTGTACATGCGCAGGTCAGGTTTTTCTGGCATTACTTGCCACAGCCTTACAGAAACCCCAAGGCAGGAGGCAGAAATGGGTCATTGGAGGATTTACAGAGCACAAAAGGAGGCTCTGTCTAGGGGAAAAACTGATCACTACAGCAGTGACTAGAGCAAGAGGTAGGATGGGGAATATATATAGGGGGAGGGAGGAGAGAGAGAGAGCGTCTTATTCTGTCACCCAGACTGGAGTGCAGTGACGCAAACACAGCTCACTGCAGCCTAGACCTCCTGGGCTCAAGCAATCCTCCCACCTCAGCCCTCCAAGTAGCTGGGATCACAGGTGTGCGCCACCTCACCCGGCTAATTTTTGCATTTTTAGAGATGGGTTTTCGTCATGTTGTCCAGGCTGGTCTCAAACTCCTGGGCTCAAATGATCTGCCCTTCTTGGCCTGTCAAAGTGCTGGAATTACAGATGTGCGCCACCATGCCAGGCAGATGGGAAACAGTTTAAGTTACATAAAACAAGTATAAAATGCAAATATTTTATGTTTATATGTTTAGTTATTTAATAACTGTTTCCTGTCTCTATGAGAACAGGTAAATTGTTTTAACGCACTCTTCTTATATCTGTTCTGTCTTTGACCCTACAGAGGGTGAAAATGTGTTAAGAGATGGAAAGTACAGAAAATAGTTACCTTCGAATTTCAACTATTTTTGTTTGTATTTTAATTCTGATGCATATTTGCTGTCATTTTATTTATCATTTGTTTCTAGGTTACATTTCTTTAAGCACCTTTCCTTTTTCTATTAGCTATTTACACTATTTTCGCTTTGATGCAGTTTTATATTTCCAATAAGTGAGTTACAGATCTTTTCAACACTTGTTTACTTTTAGATACTTTAATTTAGCTTTTATACTATATCATTACATATCTTTAAACCCTTGTTAAATTAGTTTTTAATTTTAATGACTTTGTTCAGAGATATTTTTTGTTTCTAATCTGTATTTTAATTTTCCTTATAAAGATAATGGTTTATGTTTTTGGATTAGCATATTCTATCAATTCTTTCTCATTTTATTATTACATAGGCACTGAATGGTAGAAATTACAAGGAAGAATTACACTACCTGCCTCTTTTTGTAACAAAAAGCTGAGGAGTGTTTTTAAGCTGAGGTCTGGTGGTCCTCACTCTGTTCTTTTCACTGCACTCTGTGGGTTGCATTATGTGAAATTACTGAAACAAGCTAATTTGAAATCACTGAAATTATTCTCTAGAAAAGCTGTGATATGCTAATGTTTATTTTAAGGATGCAGTTAACATAAAATGCAACTATAGTCACTATCCACTTACTTACTTTTGCATAATCTGTTTATCATGGCTTTGAATGCTATGAATTCCTAAATGTGACTATAAAATGAAAAGAGGAGCTAAACTGGTCTTGAAAACAACAACACTCAATTGACCCTTTAACTTTCATGTCTTCTCAGAAATAGGTCAATATTAGTCAATGTAACACCCCCCTACTCAAATGGGTGCCTTCAGATGCTATAAACCCATGATAGTTTGTATAAATTAGAATTAGAATATTCTAATTCTATGGAATTTTCTCTTTCTCACTCTGACTTTTTGTAAAAGAGCCAAATGTAAATCAAGTAAATTGTTGCAAAGTTCAGTATACATATATGTGTATATATATTCCATATATATATATATATATTCCACAGGTTTCACTGGAGGTAAGACTAAGTCACTTCTTAACTGTGTGTCCTTCATTCAGCAACTTGTTTATTCTATCATAATCTCCATCTCTCCTTATACGCAAAATTAAAAGAAAAATAGAAGACTATCCATTCTCATGACTAGTATGAAGATTCCATTAAAAAATATGCAACGTACATGCACACACACGCACAACTGTAATTAAGTAGGTTGAGGCTGGCTTCAAAAGCTGACTTTGAAGACTCATGATTCTTTAATTTCTTCCATTGTTAGTCAGGATAATACCCAGGGTTGGCCAATTAAGGCTAAAGTGCGATGATGCATTTGTGTACGACATTTAAAGAATAAAAAATATCATACACAATTTAATTTACCTTGTAAAAACAAAAAACACCTTATATGTTTTTATTACGAACATGATGATTGTGGAAAATTTAGAAGATGCATGTGAGGAGAGACAAATGCAGATGGCCCTGGACGCTCCTTCCAGTCCTTTTCAATAAATGAGCAAGCAGCTAGCTCTGCAGACCTGAGAGAACTCATTGGAAGAACAGGCAGATACCAGAGGCTGAGATCACGAGGCTTGGCCCTTTTGAAAAAGATCATTGTCTTTCTCAAGATGCTCCCCCAATTATATACTCATCTAGATATGCCCTGCTTCCCTTTCCCACATATGTAGGCTGTTAGGGTGAAGAGGTTCTCTACCAGGGGGCTTTTCATAGCATAAGCTCTGCTAGTTTCAGCATAACTCTTGATGGAAAAACAATATGGACTTCTGTATTACTTGCTGTGATGTTGCTATCAATGAATCTTTTCAAATGCCTGTACCATGTGTCACAAATAATGGATCTATCTGTGCCCCTCTGCAAAAGAATAATAAATAAATGAAAACATAAACAAACATTAAGCCGTGAATCCCACCATCCATGGATAACCACTTGCTGATATTTTAAACAGTGTTTGGCTTCATTCTGAAATGTTCAAGTATTTGGAGATTCACAGCTAAAAGCAACTAGCCTCTATGAGCTTTTCCAACTTTTTCTTTAAGGCAAACTGACAACAGTGATGTGATCACGAGGATTTAGAAAACCAGAACATTTTGCCTCTGAACTGTATGTGTGGAGAGATTTCACAGGTTAAATGGAAGTTCCTAGGATCTATTACATCCTCTCTACAAAATGTTATTGTGTATTTATTCATTCATTTATTTATCTTATCCAACTATTTTTGCTAACTACAAGCACATCGGACTTTGTGACAATCAAGAGCTGTACAAAAAGAGAGAGAGGGAGATGTTAAACACATTTCTCATCTTCTGAAACTTGAAGCTTATATCCTAGTAGGAAAGATATGACAAGTACATGCAAATTAAATGTCTCATTCACCATTCTATTCACAGTAACTGACAAATGATATTCAATAGAATAATCTTCCCAATCAGATTGTAATGCTCTTGACTTAAAGACTGTCTCATATTCATTCTCAACATGTGCAACATTTTCATTCATGATACTAAAGATAAAAATTCATTAATTTAACTAGGTAGCCTACTAATTTAAAATATTCTACTCATGTCAATAAATCAACCAATCAACTAGATAAACATTTAAGATATCTTAAATGCAATTTAACAAAATTTCTTTCTGATAATCATAATAATGCCCTTTAAATACCAAACAACATTTTTGAGGAATGTTGTATCTACATAAATGCAGTTGTAATTTAATAGTGTGTTATTGTAATAATAGCTATTGTAAAATTTAAATGGAATTTAGTGATAACAAATAAATAAATCTTGTTTTACTATATAAACACATTGTTCACAGCTATCTTGAACCTAAATTCCTTCCAGTACCCTAAAGAATTAAAATAATGATTCAGACTTCTGAAATTAGATTGGAACTTAGGTTGGTGCTTACTTTGACTAACTGTAAGTCTTTTAGATTTTCCAAAGAATATAAAGATCACACATGAAGGATATTTCATGAGAAAAATAAGTATGATAATTTGTCACTTGTTTTCTCAAAACCAAGCTATCCTATTATTTGATGGAGTTAGATGAGTTAGATGACAAAAATACTCTATATCATCACAACAGTTTTGTCTGCATTATCATATTTGATCCTGTGAGTAAGGCAGGGAAAATCAATCATCCCTCTTTTCCTTCCCTCCTTTCCCTCCTTTCTTTTTTGAGACGCAGTCTCGCTTTGTCACCCAGGCTGGAGTGCAGTGGTGCAATCTCGGCTCACTGCAAGCTACGCCTCCCGGGTTCACACCATTCTCCTGCCTCAGCCTCCCGAGTAGCTGGGACTACAGGCGACCACCACCACACCCGGCTTATTTTTTGTATTTTTAGTAGAGATGGGGTTTCACCATGTTAGCCAGGATGGTCTCGATCTCCTGACCTCGTGATCCGCCCGCCTTGGCCTCCCAAAGTGCTGGGATGACAGGCGTGAGCCACCGTGCTCAGCCCCTTCCCTCCTTTCTTATGTTATCCTCATGAGAAAATGTTTTTGGAATTTTTGATAAACATGATCACAGAAGCATAAATATCTAAATCCCACCTGATAAAATAGCTGTACTGGCAGCATTTCTGGGTCTATCAGGTTACTTTAGCGCAAGGTTGGGCATCCTTAACACCAGAATATTATAAAGGAGGGTTATCACAGGTCAGGGCTGGTCATGAACAGACCATGCAATCAAATGGGATGAAAGGTCAAGTTATGTTGGGATATGAAAAAGTCCTCAGCGTAAACTGATATCAGCTTAGACCATATCAAAATTAGCAGCTTGTATGTAAGAAGTCAATCATTACATTTTATAAGATATGACGGGAATAGGTCCTCTGAAAAATCAGGAGTCCTCTGCTACCCTAGATATGAGATAACTTTGATCAGAGGTGGTTTAGGACCTTGGGTAGCTCTCAGGGAGCTGGCTCTTGTTCTGTTAATAATAAAAGCCATACTGAACAAACATATACCTATGTTTATATTGATGTCTATATGCAGACAGAAAATCTCAGAAGAGTCTGGTTGCCTGTTTTTTCCTCATAGTTAGCTTAATCTTTATGAAACACAAACCTCTTCGTTCAGATGAAGAGCATTTAGTGTCCACATCCACATCCAGGAGAGAAAGCCAGGTTATTCTGTGTAGTCTGGAAGTTTCACAGGGGTATACACTGATGAGAAGGCCTGACTGCAGCAGAGGAACTCTGTCTGCTGCAACACGGGATTACTCAGGCCCCAGAGGTACCAACTCCACTGGACCAAAAATAGAGCCCAGGCATGTAAAGCTTAAGACCATGAACTCTCAAGACAGCTGCTTTCTGGCATTGAATTAACTAGGGTGCTACTAATTTTTACAGTAACCATAAAGGGGAGAATAGATTATACATTATTTTTTATAACTAACATGGGATTGTGACACCATTAAGTTGCGCTTTGTCTTTCGGTCAATTAAATTCATAATTTATTGTAATATGCTAGAACCCTATGGCAGAGGCTGGCAAGACTCATCAAATCCATTTTATCTTCCATCAGAGCATATAGGTGGACTACATTTTCTGGCTTCCTTTGCAATTAGGTGCAGTCATGCGACCGATTTTAAACCAGTAGGATTTTTCATGGAAGTGGTATATACCACTTCCAGGCCTGGTTCATGTACTTTCCTTGCAAGCTTCCATGATTTCTTTACTATTTTATCTGCCGGTCAGATTAACGGAGTCAGTGGTACACTCCAAGACTCTAGACTTTAACAAAGCCATTAGATGGATGAAGCCTGGAACTCTAAATAATTGCGTGAAAAAGAGACAACCTTCCACCCAAGCAAACTTAAGTTTACTGTAACATAAATAAGAAATAAATATTTATGTTGGTAAGTAACTAAAATGTGAAGCTATTATAGAAATTAGCCACTGTGGCTAACGTTATAGGACTAATAGATATTTTTGAATATGATACATATGATCAAATCACATTTATATGAAAGTGCAGGTCTCGGCTATGAGCCATGACACTTGAGTTTTAATAAGCCAAATGTTTTGCATATATAATATACTTTAGTAACTTGCATTTTGAAATAACCTTCTTGACCCAGAGAGTAAGACTCAGTCTATCTGTAAGTGTCATCCCTTAATATTGCTTAAAGATGATAATGATTAGGGTAATGAATGATAATGATGATGCTAATACCTATAATAACATTTCATTTATAGCCCTTCTTAGTAATGTATTTATTTAATTGTCTCACTCTTTCTTGGACATGTTTAAGATGATTGCTATTATTCCCATTTTAAAGGTCTTGAAACTGAAATCCAGAATGTCAGCTAACTAATGAAAGACACGACAAATTCAAATTTAGATCTTCAGATTATTGACCCTAAAGTCCATGCTTTACCACTACCCTACAATTATTTAAGCAGAACCTGTCATAAAATTGCGGATATGAGTCTAACTTAAAGAACAGTGAACTCTTTGACTATGTAACTTCATAGAACTTACTATAAAGCATCTTGGTTCTGCGGCTCAAAGGATTTCTGTTTAATGATGTCATTACCATATAGCCAGGACATAACACTGCATTTAAGAGATGTAAAGTAGTCATTTAAACATTTACTGCTTTGGGCTTCATATCTATTACTGATAGAAGCTTTGAGATGAGGATTTAAATACTACTTTATATTTATTTCTTAAGCTCAGCCACAAAGCATTTTCACACGAGACATTCAGCAACTCTGAAAGGGCTACTTCTTCCCAGCCATTTGCATTTGGTCAAACTTCCTTCTTTCCTTGCTGTTTATGACTGTAACAAGTGGCATAATATGAAGGACTGAAATAGGGAGGTTGCCAACTTTTCAAAACTTTTTCTGGAAGAAATATAATTTAGTAGGAATAATATATCCAAAAGTAATACTCAAAAAAGGGCCCTGAAAACCCTCTTCAGAAATGTATGTGGGTAATATATTTCTAAGGATTGTGATTTGTACAGTGCAAAATCCATGGGCAGTTCAAAAAAGTTGGACCAGGAAGAAAGGAAGCCATTTCCAGCACAAGACAGTGTTTCCTAGGCTGCAGAATTATAAGGTTTGAATGTGACTTGTTGGTCTTCCTGTACTCTTTTCTTATTCTAAGAAGAGTTTCAAAAATAAATGAGAATATGGTTATAAAAAACAATAAAATATACCCATTCTCAAAGAGTACATTTCATTTACTTCTGAATAAAAGTCTTAACATATGTAAAGCCTGTATTAACTGCTTTTAGTCCAATAATTGCAACTATACACTATATAATGTATATATTATATAGTTATGTACTACATGGTTTATAAAACATTTTCATATATCTTTTTTATTTTTGAAAAAGTATGTTTGGCAGAAATTCTTATGCCTTCTTTTTTTTAATTATGAGAACACTGATCCTTAGAAAGTCTTTTTGGCTACCATTATCTTCTCTAATAATTTGATTTCCTTTTCAAAACTCACACTGCTCAGAGAGGTGTCTCCACTCATCCCCTTTTCCAATACTCATCAATTCAATACTCATCAATTCTTATAATCTGCACTAACTTTATTTAATTTAAATCACTACAACTTGAATATGTGACTTTAAAAATTACTCTAATGTAATTTATCCAACAAATTTTTTGATCTTTTTTTAATGTAGTGTTTGTCAGCTCCCACCATAGATGACTTCAAGCTGCCAAAAATTTAACAAATGGCTCAAAAAATGTTGTACATTTAACAATATTTCTTTTGAGCCTATAAAAGCCAAATTCATCACACTACTGGCAGTGTTCACTCAGATCTAGCGCTAGCTCCTAAGGAGCTTATGGCCTGATAACGGAGATTGCATTCAGTAGAGAAAAGCTAGGAGTCTATTTTCTTTGACAAGGTCTTGGAAGCTCTGGAACCTTAGGTATGAATGTAACTGTTTTTTCCTTCTACATAAGCAGCAAAGGTCATTCAAGCAGAGGAGATAGTGTGTTCAAAGGCATGGATGCATGGAATGCCATGGCATCATTCTATATCCAATGTGCAGTGGGAAGGGCTGTCAGAAAAGAGAGTTCAGCAGGCCTCAGATCATGGAGGTTTGTTTGTGTTCTAATTGTTGTTCAATTGTTCACTCAATTGGATCAACTACATGACAACTAAGATGTATCTGCAGCTAATTTTACCTGTAACACTTTGTCTCTTTATTTTTATCTAGAGCTATATCTAAAAATCAGTGTATTTTCCCATCATATCTTCAAAACTCATTTTGTTTTTCACCATCTCTGGGAAGACATTCTTGACTTCTTCCATATTAACTCCTGCTATCTGCATCCAAGCACAGTGAACCTCCTCTGCTTCTGGGTCCTTCCCATGTGCCTCCATGAATGTATTACCAACATTGTAAGTATATTTGTTTAGATGTCTCTCTCTGTCACCCAAAGTGATAGTTCCTTGAGACGTAGGAGTGTCTTTTATTGTTTGTATTGCCAGAGGCTTGAACAGTACATGATTCATTGGAGATACTCAAGATATATTTATGCATTGTGTTGAATTAATAAGACACTTCTTGACTATAATTCAAAAGAATGAACAAAGAGTGGTGACATTCTAATTGTTGGGAATGTGAATGTTTCCTGACTCACCTTTCTGAAGCTGCTGCCATATACTAAGAAGTAATGAGTACAAAGAGTTCATGCTAACATTGCTTAGAGAATGCAAACTTTCTAGGCTTCCTCAGCCTGCTAGAACTTTCCCTCCAGCTGAGATCTACCTAGTTTAAGCCCAGTTTATACAAGATTTTGAGGAAGCTCAAAGAAGAAAGGATTTTCAGGATGCCCAGAAGTGGGACAAAAATGCTGACCCTTGAGTTGCTGTGCATGGCTTTAGTGTATTTCTGCACTTGGCAGCAATGTAAGTCTACCCCCACCAGCTATACTAACCACAAACTCCCTTTTAGAATCAGTGAAATTCAGAACTAGAAAGGGCTTTTAGACACCTACATTGGAAGATATCAACTTGAGTAGTATAACGACTTGCACTCTGGAGGTAGATTCTCCTGGGATATTGTACTTACTACTAAATCTTTCTTTGGACACTTTATGACCTTTAGCTATTAGCCTGCATCAAGTTGGGTTAACAGTAGTGACTACATTATTATTGTTAGGACTAATCAAGATTTTGCAGATATAATTCTTACCTTCTAATTGCATCTCTACCCATGCTCTTGTTGTAACACTGTATCATACAGAGTCAAGGGTGGGGACCAGGACCCAGATTGGCTGAGGTCAAATTCCATCTCTGCCACTTACTGGTTGGGTTATCTTAGATAAGTCACTTGATCTATCTGGATTTCAATTTTCTCATCGCTAAAATGTGAATAATAATAACTACCACTAAGAATTGCTTAGAGAATTATATGGTATGAAGAGTTTAAACAGGGTTCGTTCCATAATTAGTAAAGAGATAAAGTTGAAAGGCTTTGACCTAATGCTATTAGGTCAAAGACGTAACTGAATTTCATGCTTCACTTACCTCTATAAGGTTCCTGCTGTGTTTTCCTTATTCTTGTGAAGCTTTAGCCAACTAATGTTGTTGAATCATTGCTGTTGTTCATTCATTACCAATCCATTAATGCTCATCCCAGTGTAACTATAGAGTATATATATATATATACATCATTATTGATAATTATGGCAAATATAGTCATCTCTGTTTTGCAGTTAACTTCTGAACAGTGATACGCTCACAACTTTGAAACTATATTAAATATTTTATGAAAGTTTCTTACATTTTCTCCTGATTTTAAGATAGTGTTAAGGAGTAAATCTGCTTTCCTTAAAATAAAATTATTTGACTGTAACAGAGTCCCTCCAAATCTCCTACCTCATGATTCTATTTTATTCTCCAATAAGCAAGCCTGACTTAAGATTACTTTTTTTTTTGTCATAGGTCCAAATATGGCATTCTGTAACAAACGTGGTAACAAAAACCAAGCCCCAAAGACTCCACTTACTGCTGTGCATAGGTTGGTTATGGAATGTAGTGCATGAAGAGCATTTGCTTGCCTAAAAATTGTTCAGACTCACATTAGAGTGTCAATTTCATCATACATGTCTCTAAATCACTATAAAGTATGAGCTTCTTGAGGACAGAAATACTATTTATTCATCCCTGCATCCTCATCTCCTGGCACAGAATACAACCCACAGTGCATGTGTTGAATGAATACATATAAATATGTGATCGTTCTTAGCCATCAGGTTACTAGTATTCACTTTCTATTTCTATTCAAATACATATATATCAAATAAATATACATATATACATACACATACCTATATATCAAATAGAATATATACTTTTATATTTGATAAAGTTTAAAAGTTATACTTCAAAAGCTATAAATATATACTTTTTGATATCTATTTGAAATATCAAAAAGTATATATTTATTTTTTTGTTCACTAGCAGATAACTATTTAAAAAAGAAGCAATACAAAATAGAGACTGTATCTATATGAATCACTCTACAATTAATTGTATATGGATTTTAATATATTTTAGATCTAGCCTTTTTGTGGTTACTTTCAAGGGACCTTAGTAAGTTCAGATTCTTAAAATCACATCATGAGTCATCACTGCCTTCTTTATGGAAATGCAAAAGCCTTAGAAATGTGTTAAAAATGGAAAATGCTTGCTTTGGTTTTATATAATACCTTTCAATGTAAAGGACATTAATTTAAGTACCTGTTGTGCTTGGCTCCTTTGAGAGAAGTTGTGAGCAGGGCTTGTTTATTGAGTCTGCATTGTGTGTGAAACCCATTACATATGTTCATTTAAAAAGTCAGGCCTGTTGAGTTATAATTTGTATAAACTAAAAGTCCGTGATGAGTGTTCATTTAAAAAGTCAGGTCTGTTGAGTTATAATTTGTATAAACTAAAAGTCCGTGATGAGTGTTCATTTAAAAAGTCAGGCCTGCTGAGTTATAATTTGTATAAACTAAAAGTCCGTGATGAGTTTTGACAATGTAAATAGTTGTGTAACTACCATAACAATTAAGATAGACAAAAAGCATATCACTCCTCGAATTTCCCTTGTGCCCCTTTTTAGTCAGTCTGCTGTTCCCACTACCAATCACTGGCAAATATGGATCTAATATTTTCCTAAGGTTTTGTCTTTTCAGTAATGTCACATAAAAGAAATAACACAGCATGTAGTCACTTTGCCTGGCTTCTTCTACCAGATGTTCTAATGTAATCATTACTAGACCTTATGAAGTAGGTTTTGTTATTTTCATTTTATAGATAAGAAAATGAAGGCTTTGAGAATTGAAGTGACCTACTCTCTCTAAGCCAGATTTTAATCCCCCAAATTTCATAAACTACAATAGGCTAAAGAAGATAATACTTTGGGGAAGATGTTGCTCAAATCTCATTACTTAAGTATCTGCTGGAACCCAGCTAATGCTGGCATGCTGGAACATAAATGGAAGCTCATTGAGTCAGCTCCATCTGGTTTCAGAATCTTGGCATCTAACTCAACATGTGCTTAAAAAAATCATGAAAGGAAACAATTCATGGTTAGCCACCAGGAGATGGTCCTAAGGCTCTGTTGACCCTACTTCTTAAACTGAGATTGAGTCAATACATTTATGCTTTAGCTGAAAAAAAAAAAAGGTATGAGGTGGAAATCTTAAGGAACACACATGAGATATGGAAAATTAATCCTCAAAGTACAATAATTACGGAGAAAGTTCCTATACTGTAAATGAGGATGACATAATTATTTACCAGCTTAGGTATGTGCATCCTTCTCTCTGTCTGATAAAGGCCTAAGTCAAATATGTTCTGTTTTGATTTTTAAAGAAAATAAAAAAGGTGGCTGGGTGCGGTGGCTCACACCTGTAATCCCAGCACTTTGGTAGGCCGAGTGGGTGGATCGCATGAGGTCAGGAGTTCGAGACCAGCCTGGTCAACATGGTGAGACCCCATCTCTACTAAAAATGCAAAACAATTAGCGAGGCATGGTGGTGCATACCTGTAGTCCCAGCTACTCGGTGGGCTGAGGCAGGAGAATAGCTTGAATCTGGGAGGCAGAGGTTGCAGTGAGCCGAGATTATGCCACTGCACTCCAGCCTGGAAAACACAGTGAGACTCTCTTTCCAAAAATAATAATATTAATAATAATATTAATAAATAAAATAAGGACATAAAGATTTAGAACTCTATACTATGAAAAAATAATTTTATGTATCTCAGCTCTTTTAGCAAAGACTATTAGGGTAATCCCATTATAATAAAATAACTGTGGAAAAAGATTATCTCAGGAGAAATTATTTAGACTCTAGAATGAAGAATTTTCTTCAATAATTAATTTTACTTGATACCTCTTACTGACCGTACCATACTGGCCTGAGAGTAAAGGGTGTTTCAAGACGTAATCTGCTTCCTTGGAAAAAAAAATCTAAAGTGTTTATTAAGTGTTTTACTATGTGTCCAGGCCGTGGGACTCCTATACTTTTTAAGAGTTGGAAACTTTTAATATTTTCTTAGCCTCAAATCAGACTGAGATTATGCATGACTATGGAAACATGCTACTCTTGGAAGTGTTGGAAGTGTTGAAAATCACATGCTCCCTTTTCCACTTCAACTTAGAAGTTCCAGTGATGTTGAACAAGTGAGTTTCCTCCCGGCTAAGACGGAGCCTCCTTCCTTCTATTCACCTATGGGTGCTATCACTAAAGATAGAAAGAGATCTTTATCTTTCTTGGTATCCAAACAATCGCCTTCACAAGATCGTTTGTGCTCTTTGAAGACGCAACCACATGCTAACTTTGCTTAGTCAAGTTTCTTATTCTTACAAGGATGGACTCCCTCAGGTAACAGGTGATGCTCGTTGCCGAATCAGGAAGCAGATGATGAATCTGGTTGGTAAAACAACGAGGGATGTTCAGGTGGCTTTGCTATGAGAGCAGTCCAGGTGAGGAAGGACATACTTCTTAGGTGTGACTGCTGTCTCCTGAGCACTGGTATGATACGGCCACAGTGAATAGCCCTGCAGTTGGGCTAATGGCTAATGTCTCCTGCAACCCAAATCTCAACTGAGACGATTTCAGAATGTAGCAAGTTGTCAGCTTCTTCTCAGTTAACACATAAAATGCATACAGCCAAATATCTGGCAAAAGTTCAAGAGTTCAATTTTCCTCAATTACTGATGCTTACAGGATTTTTCTTAACATATTCTAAATGAATTAGCTCTGAAGAATGACCCTGGCCATAATCACAGCACAGTGGGTAAGTGTTTAGACTTTTATATCAATTAAACATAACATTCATATCCAAAGTGTTTTAGTGTATCTGACAATAAAACCTTTTCCACCATTGCAGTCGTTTTTTCCCATTTGATTTTATAACCACATATTTCTTGCTGAAGGATATCAAGGAGATGTGGCCAAGACATAAAACTCATTTCAAAAATTTTGAGTATATGAGTAGTTCCTGGAATCCTGATTATTCCTTGTAGAGAAGGGACCTACAGATGAAAGAACAATAGCAAAAATTCTATAGCGGGACTCAAGGTATAAAAGAAATTCAGAGCTAAACAATGGCATTACTGTTCAAGGCCAAAATTATGCTTGATGTATAAGATTTTTCTACATTTTGTAGCCCATGTGCTCCCTCCACCCCAGTTATACAAATGTGCAAGTATCATGTCTTCCTTTAGTGTTTATTTGCTCTTTAAATATAAATTAAGCTCCTATAACTGAGATTACTAAATAAAGGAGAAAGCACATTTTTGGTTTTACGGCACGGTGCTATTTTTATTTTGCAAAAGTTGGGATCCATTCACTCTCTTACCACCATTGTGTGAATGTCCCCATTTCTCATGTTTCCATCTAGTTGAAGTATTACTACTAGCATGTATATGGATTCCTACAGTAATGTAAAAAAGTAATGTAATTCCTAAAAATAAATTAATAGTACCACAGTACTGTTGTTATTGTTCTTCTCTTCAATCATATAAATCCTCCCTTTTCGCTATTACTAGGAGCCTTCTAGAGGTATGAGGTCCCCTTAGCTAGCACTGAACCATGGAATTAGAACCCTGATCCCTCTTCCGGGCTCACTCTTCCCCAGAGAGGCAGGAATGCTTCCCATACAACTGCTGCCTTTAGGGGAAGAAACCCTGCATGGGTATTTTGGTACTCTATTTTTTCTCTTTGTCTTTTAGAATCAGCTTGCTAACAACAACAACAACAAAATGGCATCTTTTAAAACCATCCTGCTGTGCACATGGGATTAGGCTTTGTTCATGTTGGGGAGAACTGTGGTTTTCTAGCATTGCCTGAAATTGAGATCAGTTAGTGTTTCGGTCTGTGTCAGGCGTGGAGTCAGCAAACACCTTTGGCCAAAGAGCTAAAACCTAATTTTCCAATGAGTTCAGGAAAATGACACTGACATTCTCATCTTCATCTGTCTCCCTTTTCCAATGTCTTTGGGTATAAACTTGAAAGATAAAAAGACATTTGTATGTCACCTTAACTCCCTGTGTATGTGTGTATGTGTGTGTGTTGTGTGCATGCCTGGACGTATATGTATACACTTGCATATGAGGAATATATGTTCTTTTACATAGGTATTTACATTTCTATTTGTAATAATCCAAGTGAATCATACTCTAGTAATGAGAGCACATTTGACCTACTGAAAATTGTTAAACAGGTAATTTGACTTAGGTTCTGTTTATAGAACCCTACTAGTAACAATACTTGGCAAAAGCATCAAAACAAAATTCAGCAACTTCTCATCACCTTGCTTCCTCATGCATACTACCTATTTTCATTTTGAACCTTAAAACAACCTTATGAAGTGAGCCTCACTGATGCTAGCTTCCCTGTATCGAGGATGGAGGATTTGAGGGTTTTATTTTTTTCAATATCACACCACCACTAGCTTGCGGAGGCTTCTGGCTCTGGGGGAAGAGTGGGAGAGCATTTGCAGATTTTCCGGTACAAATACTCCCCCTGTAGTTGATGACAAGTTGCCAACAGTTAACCACCAGCTCAGAGAATTCAAACAGTTATCAAGCAACATCCACTGCAAAACAGCCACTAATCCAAGCCAAGTATTCTGATTCCTGGGTTTTATCGGCCACACCACTGTGCCTCTTCAGGTGATTCCTTCATTCATTTAATCTACTCTAAAACTTCAAACTGTATTTCTTAATTCCGTCCTCTAGATTTATGCTGTCAATGCATTCTCTAAGCAGCAAGCAGAGAGATGACCCTACTATTCCACTCTTAATTTAGTCTTCCTCTTGATACATAAAAATATGTAAGAGGTTCCCCATTGCCCTTGGGAATAAATGTCAACTTCTAAAGTGCCTTATAATGCCATTCAGGATCTGAAATGTGATTTCCACTATCATCTCATAGCCCCTGCCCTACCACTAATCTGATTCAGACAAAGTGAAATTTATCTGAATATGAAAATATGGAACATTCAATATTTTATCAAATATTGAATGTACAACGACCTTGCCCATTTTGGAGTCCTTTAAGACAGATCCTGGGAACACTTGCATTATCCTGTGTTCTGTAATTTGACCCTCTCTTTCTGACAGGTGGCCCTGTGGTAGGCAGAATAATAGCTCCCAAATATATCCACATCCAGATACCTGGAAAATGTGACACTGCAAAAAGGACTTTGCCGATGTGATTAAGGGTACGACCCTTGAGATGGGGAAAGTATCCTGACTTATCCAGGAGGATCCAATCTAATAACACGAGCCCTTAAAATTAGAGAACCAACTTCAAATCCAGATGATTTGAGTACTTTAAAACACTTTAACACTGATCCACCTCTGACTTACATGAAACATTATTCAGCATATATTCATTTCTAAACCTCACACAGAGATTATTATTGTTGTCGTGATCATTTATTCTTAAGGATAATGCCTGTTATATTTGCTTACACACTTGCCAATTTCTTTACTCACCATTCTCATTTAACTATCAAACATCCTGGGAATCTCATTTTTCTCCTTTTGGAATATATCCTTTAGAAATTCCTTTGGTGGAAGTCTTTTGTGATACAATCTCTGCTTTTATCTACCAGAAAATGTCTTTATATCAATCTCATTTTGCTTGGTATATAATTCTGGATTGATTTTTTTTTTTCTCTGAGAACTTTTTTTTTTTTTTTTTTTGAGACAGAGCCTTGTTCTGTCGTCCGACCTGGAGTGCAGTGGCACAATCTCGGCTCACTGCCACCTCCACCTCCTGGGTTCAAGAGATTCCTGTGCTTCAGCCTCCCAAGTAGCTGGGATTACAGGCACCCACCACCATGCCCGGCTAATTTTTCTATGTTTAGTAGAGATGGGGTTTCAGGTTTCATCATGTTGGCCTGGCTGGTTTCAAACTCCTGACCTCAGGTGATCTGCCTGCCTCGGTATCCCAAAGTGTTGGGATTACAGGCATGAGCCACCATGCTCGGCCTCTCTGAGAACTTTGAAGATAGTATTCCACTGGTAGTCTTGCCTATTTACTAGAAAAGCTTACTCACAAGCTAAATTAATGGTTCTCAACCCCTGGAATCACATGGTGAGTATTAAAAGTTCTTATGTCTAGGCCTACTCCCAAAGACCATGATTTCACCGGGGTGAGTATGGCATTTGATAGTCAAAAGAACCTCATGGAAATTATGATGTGCAGCCCTCTTTAGCAACCCTTGGTCTAAATGATTTGGCTTTTTATGTGATCTCTCTTTTCTCTGAATGCTTTTAGTATTTTCCCTTTCTGTCTTTCCTTTGGTGTTCTACTTTTTCTATAACATGTCTACATCATGGGCATCCTTTTAATACTCCTATCTGTGGATTCATATCATTCATCATTTTTTGGTACTATAAATTACTATTTTTTAAAATTTCGCCTCTCCTCCATTCATCAATTAGGTCTATGTTAGACCTTTTTATTCTATCATTCGTGTCTCTTAGCACCACTTTCATATTATATATTTCTATATTATATATTTATATATATATATTATATATCTTTATTTTTGGCTATTTCCTTCAAATCTATCTTTCACTCTTTCAGTTTAAAACTTTTTTTTTTTTTTTTTTTTTTTGCTTTTATCCTACCTGAGCATTGGCTGTCTAACTATGGTCTTGATACTTCGGTGTGTTGTTGTTGTTTTTTAATTTTAGCTTTAAGCTTTTTTTTTTTTTTTTTCTAGTTTTGATGTAGTTTTAGATCCATGGGAAGTTGCAACAAAAGTACTCAGAGTCCCATGAAATTTTCACTAGTTTCGCTCTAGGAAATTGACATTTGCACACTGTTAAATAGATAACTGACATTATTCACTGTTCACCATTTTTACCTGAGTCCATTTCTCTCTCTCTCTCGTGTGTGTATGTGTGTGCGTGTGTGTGTGTCTGTGGTGCTATGCAGTTTCAGCCTAACTTCATTCATGTTACTACCACTGCAATCAGGATGCAGAACAGTGTCATCATAGGAAAGAACTCTACCTATATTCAAATCCTACCCCTATCTCTGCCCCCCTGGCAACTATTAATTTGTTCTCCATATCTACAGGTTTTTATATTATTGTTATTTCAAGAGTGTTACATAAATGAAATTATACAATTTGTAATATTTTGAAATTTGACTTTTTCACTAAGTGTAAAGCTCTTACAATCCATCCAGGTTATTGCTTATAGCAAAAGTTTGTTCCTTTTTATTGCTGAGTAGTATTCCATTGTGTGAATGCATTGGAACCTGTTAACCATTCACCCACTGGAGGATATTTGGGTTGTTTCCAGTAAAAAAAAATGCTATAAATGTTAGGAGGCAGGTTTTTGTGTGAATAAAAGTTCATTTCTCTGGAATAAATGTCCAAGAATGTGATTGCTGGGTTTCAAATAGTAATTGCATATTTAATTTTACAAGAAGATGAAGACTTTTTTCCAGAGTAGCTGTATCATTTTAAATTCCCACCAGAAATGTCTAAGAAATCCAGGGTCTCTTAATCCTTGCAAAACGTTTGGTATTATTTTTATTTTTTATTTTAGCTGATGAAATGGGAGTGCAGTAACTCATAGAATTTTTAGTTTCAGTGATGATGGTTTCTGAGAGTTCCATTTAGGTCTTTTCCAAATCTGTTTAATTATTTAAAATAATTTTTTATTCCATGCTCATTTTTGTGTTTTAGCTTTTATTTCTTTGATCTTTTCATATATTATTTTATATTCTGTATATAATAATTTTAATTTCTTAAGTCCTTGAGAGTCTAAATACGTTTCTTATTTCTGCAAACACTCACTCATGGTGGTTTACATATTACATTTATTGCTTTGAGTTTTAATGTGAACTCACATTTGATTGAGTTTAATCTGTATGACCCCTGAGAGGCAAAAAAGAATAAGATTTCCTCCAGTTAGGATTTTTTTATTACTTATGCTTGGAGCCAGAGGTTGTTACTGACATGAAACTATCCTAGCCTTTGTAGATCTGAATCAAATGTAAGAGTCTCAGTTTCATTTCCAATATTTTCAATGAAGTTCCCAAGTTAGCTTCCCAGTCTCAGCACTGATAGCAATAAATGCACCACAGTAAGCTGGAATTTCCAAATTGTTCGATATTATATTATTATTTTAAGTTTTAGCTAATTATTGTGTGTTTAGGCCGTTGGAAAATTTCTTTTCTCTTTTGAAATATCAGAAAAGTTCTAAAATACAATGCATGTTACTTATAATTGATCTCAGATTTTTCCGACTGTAGTAGGAGTGTCTTTTGAAGCCTGTCCTCGGCCACAATGCCTGAAGCATATGCTCGTGGCTCCATCTCTCGTATTTGTTGTACTTGTGCCCTAGTAGTGCCTCTTTGTTCACATAATGCTCACTTACAGAATGAATGAGCAAGAGTGAATAAATTAATTAGGTAAATGATGCAATTCATAACCTCTTTGGGATATATCAGAACCATTTTTAGACAGCTTTTGCTCAGAAAATTTCCCATCAAAAAATTGAGTGAATCTATGGTATGTTTAACATCAAGTTTTTATATGCATTCCCCAACGACACATAATTTTACCACCACACGAGTGTAATTATTGTATGGTTAAAAATGGATTAAACGTGCAAAGTACAATTTTTAAAAATTGATAATGGTCAAAAGGTAGCTACTTCTGAAAGAATAAGAATCAGAAGAAAAAATGAAAATGTGCCATGTTACAGGCCCCCTCATAACCTTTGGAATATACAGAGCTGGTAATTCCTGATTGAAATGATGGCCCCAATATGGACCAATCATTTGAAACCATGTTCATTCAAAAGCTGGAATTCTACTGCTACACTGTACACAGAGTGGCATATGTAATATGTGGCATATTACAATAGCCTAACCCCTCAAGGTCACAATAACTAGAATTTTCCCCACAACATTCTTACCATACTCAGTATAAATGAAGTTTTTTCCTTCTCTAAAATTGCATTCATAAATTGCAAATTTAAGCCAAAATATTAAATGCATAGGTAGGTATAGGAAGGAAACACTTTCCCACTCAATCTAACTGGTGGTTTATTTAACTGTTGTTTTCTTTCTTTCTTAACACATCAAAATGTTATTTATATGGGGCAACATTGTGTTCTAACCCAAAATAAATATTATAAATTTATCTTCTTTATATATTTGTATACATATAATTTTTTTCAATCTTGATGCATTATTAGGCTTCATGGGGACAAATATAATTAATTAAATAGAACTTTTCATCAAATAGAAATGCCAGTACTTCCATTTTACTGACCTCATACACATTAGCTGGGTGACAAATTTAAGCAATGGTAGAGACTTGAGGAAATTTGATGCTATAAAAAGTCTGGAACAATTCTAATGTCTTTCTAGGCCTACATTTAAAATTTTTTAATTGTATGGATAAATCTTAATATCAGTACCTTTGAGATCAAAACTGTTTTTTCTTTTTTTTTTCAAAATAACTCAGCAAGAAAGAGCCTGAATGTAACAGAAACATGATAAAAAAAAAAAAAAAAGGCAATTTAAGAGGCCAGCAGTTGCAAGGAAATGAAAAACAGTGAGCTATGTCAAGCACTGCAGTATACATAATATAAAAATATGCAGCTTTTCAGATTAAATGAACTATCCTCCCATTTTTGATGTTCACTGCAATATCATTTAGTAATACAGTTGAAGACTTCCTAGTAACTATTTAAGCAGTATTTACCAAAAGTAGCTGCATAAAGAGAGCAAGCTTTTGATCCTCATGAAACAGTTTTCAGTATTTGATGTGCTCTTTTCAGTGTCCCAAATTTAAAAATTTCTTTCTGCAAAAGAGCCAGGTCTGTGGAGATAATATAAAGGAAAGAGTACTCTGGAGTCAAACTGCAGCCAGGGTCTAGGATCTTATCAGAGAGGCTGACAATGATGAGATCACTTGAAAGAGTAATCTCTAGGAAACAGAGGATGGAGGAAAGAGTTTTCAAGACTTCCATATTCAAGCTTGACTGAAAATCTATCAGCCTATGTAAAGCTAGAGGCCACATATGCCAAATTCTCATGGATCTGTTGCTGATTCTCCCTCCCCCATTCTAATTGCTACTGGGATATGTGCATTATAAATGTTCCCATTAAACATGGTCCCTTCTTTGGTTTTAAGGATTCTTTATTAACACTACCAGATTCTTTCCAATTGGAACTTATTATCATATATAATAGACCACGAAGTCTCCTTATATTGGCTTTAAAAAAAAATCTTTGTAAAATGCAAAGATTTACTTTGTACATCCAGAAACATACTTTAAACCAGGAGAAAAACAAATTAAGTCAGGATGTGATAACACAGTATATTGAAAAAGTTAATCACTTTTGAATTCATTTTGTGAGAAGTACATACTTTGATCTATAAATTATGAATTGGCCATTCTGCCAACCAGTGTTAGCGCCCGCTGAAGGCCATAAGAGGAAAAAGAAAAAGAGTGAGACCTGACTATAAATCGTGTCAGTGGTTTCTTCTTCACTCTCAGGATGAAATCCAAGTCCCTTAGCGTGACACAAAAGGCCTTTCATGATTTTACCTCTTTTCAAGCTCCAGAGTCATTTCACAATCTGTCCTCACATGTTTTCAGCACTCCAGCCAGACTGGCCTGCGGTATCTCCCAAAGCACCAGCCCTTTCATGGCTTGATGCCCTTGAACACACCACGTCCTCCTAGAATCTCTATTTGCTGATCTTTTTTTAACCTGGAAAATTTATCCTCACCTAGAAAGTCTCATCTGAGGACTCAGCCCTTCAAACACCCCACATCTGAGTGAAGTGTTTTTCCCCCAATCTCCCAATGACATATGACATATATATATCATAACCTTACTGGACCATATTTTATTGACTATTTTACTCATCTGTTTCCTTCCCTACATTTTGAAAAAGTCTGTGTCTCTTATCTCAACATTCCCAGAACACATTAGATTATCAGTCACATCACAGATGCTCAGTAAAAGAATACATTTCACAGCCTTTTCACTGTTTTGTCCAGGTCAGAAACAACCTCTTGTGCCTGGGACCATTTTATTCAGGCAGTGGTTAAGGCTCTGCTCAGAATGTTGTTATGGATCTTTTCTGATGCTGCCTCATAGCATTTAATTGTTCGATTTGTCTGTCTGGTTATTGGCAGCCTGCTGGGTGTTAGGAGGGAAACTCATAGCTATTTTAAGAGCTACTTATTGAGTCAGTCTTGAAAGTTTTGTTTATCATTTTCTGTGTTCTGCTTCCTTTTATATTCCATGGGACTACTCAAAAGCATTTAAAGCCATCTTCCAATTTATTTTTTCAAAGTATATTTCCAGCTGAGTTCTTTTTTATTACTTAGTAGCTCCTATTGCAGAATTCTCAGACTGGCTTTTAGGAAAGTTCACATCATATTATTTCAGCTTCTTAGTTGTTTATACCATTATATCAAGCAATGCAACAGGAGGG